>NC_000005.10:179071128-179221574 GCF_000001405.40 Homo sapiens
GCGTGAGCCACTGTGCCTGACCCTGATCTCTTTTTTTAAATGCCGGCAGGACTCCCTTAGTCACTGTGAAAAATGAAACACCCTCACACATTGCTACTCACTCTAGGGAGGTGGGAGGAGATACCACACGCTAACGAGAACAACTGGATGAGATGATTGATAAGATGTGTTTCAGGTCTGGAGTTCTAGTAGTCGGTCATTTTATCATTTCTTAATATTTAATGACTTTGCCAGGCTCATTTTTTTTTTTTTTTTTTTTACTTTTTAAAATATACTTTCAAAAAGATACATGTGCTTCCAGCTTCTGGTAATAGAGAAATAGCTCCTTTCAGACTAATTCATCTGTGGATAACTACTACACTCTGGATAAAATATAAGAAACCTTAAGGTACTGGAGAGAAATCAAAAGCAGACAGATATTAGACACCTGTGTATATTTGGAAGAAGGAATTGTCACCAGATAAATTTTCTGTTTTTTACAGCTTTTTGCCTGGGAGTAGGCCACAGTCAGCACCAACAGAATAATCAAAACTTAGTCACAAACTTGCAGTCTTACTGGTGTGAATAACCACAAGATAGAGTTTGAGGCAAACTTAGCAGTTGGAAAGTGAGAGGAGGAATCTTGGAAAGGAGAGAGGCAGAGAAGGGAAGCCCCAGATTCTGTGCACAAACTCTGCCCAAATCTCTAGCTGACCCCTGAACCATACATGCACAGGACAGACTCAAAGTAGCCCAAATAAGAACTGAACAAAGATATTTGATGCTGCCCACTAGAGAGGTGGCAGAGTTCGGAATTTGACTCCAACTAAATTAACTACCTGCTTAAAAAAGTCAGTACTCTTCAAAGGAACATAACAAAATCCAGAGTTTCTACACATTGTGTACTGTACAATTTCCAGGATAAGGTAGGCATATGAAGAAATGGGGAAGTGTAACCAAAACTCAAGAGGAAGACAATCAATAGAGACAATGACCCAGATGACCCAGATATTAGAATTCACAAAGATTTTAAAGCAACTACTATAACTGTGCTCAAGGACTTAAAGGAAAATATACATGTAAAGAATGAACTAATAGGAAATGCAAGCAGAGAAATAGAGATTGTGAAAAAAGTAATTCTAGACTATGAAGTTTTAGAACTGAAAAATAAGATACCTGAAATTGTAAAAAAAAAAAATTACTGAATAGGCTTAACTTTTGGAAATGAACATAAGGAGAAGTCAGTGACAGTTGAAGGTAGATTGACAGAAATTATCCTATCTGAAAAACAGGGAGAAAAAAGGCCCTCAGTTACCAATTAAATGATATTAAAAGGTCTAATATACATGAAATTAGAGTTCTAGAAGGAGAGGGGACAAAGAATGGACAAACTATATTAAAAGGAAATAATGGCCTAAAATTTATCAAATTTGGTAAAAAACATAAATTTACTGATTTATAACATTTGATGAATCTCAAGCAGGATAAATACAAAGGAAGTCACAGCTACACACATCATTGATCAGTGACATGCAATAGAAATATAGTGTGAACCAAGAATGCAAGCCACATACCTAATATAAAATTTTCCACCAGCTACATTAAAAAAGTAAACAGAAGCAAATAAATTAACTTTAATAATATATTTTCTTTGACCCAGTAGATCCAAATATTATTTCCACATGAAATCAATATAAAATTATTGAGATAACTTGCATATATGTTTGTGTATGTATGTATGTATATGTTGTATGTGTGTGTATGTATGTTTTTAAGTAAATAATCTGGTATGTATTTTATACAGATAACATATCGCAATTCAGAAGAGCCACATTTCATGTACTTAGTAGCCACATATAGCTAGCTGGTTTCTACCATATTGGGGAAAGTCATAGAGAAATCACAAAAAACAAAGATTTGAAAGGAGGCTGAAAAAAATTGTACTACATACAGAGAATCAATATTTGAATGACCGCTGGCTTCTCATCAGAAACAACAAAGACCAGGAAGCAATAGAATGACATTTTACATGCTGAAAGAGAGAGACAAAAAAAATCAACCCAGAATTCTATATCCAATGAAAATACTCTTCAAGAATCAAGATGAAATAAAGCCATTTTCAGGTAAAATAAAATTAAGCTAATTCATTGCCAGCAGGCCTGTACTATAAGATACACTAAAAAGGAAGTTATGTAAGTTAAAAGAAAAATATACCAGAGGGGAACTCTGATTTTAGGAAGAATGAAGAGCATTAGAAATGGTAGCTATCTGGATAAATATAAAATACTTTTTTTCCTTTCGATTTCTTTAAAGTGCAGCTGATTGCTTAAAGCAAAATAATACTATTGTATTATAGGAGGGGGTTTACAATGTAGGCAGCTATAATACAAATAACCACCATGAAGATAGAATTTATTTACATCTGGACTGGAAAAGCTCTATCTTTTTCTCTAGAAAAGCTCTATTTTTATCTCTGGGAATTCTTGGTGGTCTATTTTTTTGACTCTTGGCCAAAACAAGATAAAGGCAGCATGGTTTTTTGTTGTTGTTGTTTTTTGTTTTTTGTTTTGTTTTTGTTTCTGTTTTTTGAGACAGAGGGCTGGAGTGAAGTGGTGTGATCTTGGCTCACTGCAGCTTCCCTGGGTTCAAACAATTCTCATGTCTCAGCCTCCTGAGTAGCTGGGACAACAGGTGCATGCAACCAAGCCTGGCTAATTTTTTGTATTTTTAGTAGAGATGGGGTTTCACCATGTTGCCCAGGCTGGTCTTGAACTGCTGAGCTCAGGCAGTCCACCCACCTTGGCCTACCAAAGTGCTAGGGTTACAGGTGTGAGCCACTGAACCCAGCCATCAGCTTGTGTAAGTTTTTGTTGTTGTTGTTTTGTTTGTTTTTTCAGAAAGAGTCTCGCTCTGTCTCCCAGGCTGGAGTGCAGTGGTGTGATCTTGGGTCACTGCAACCTCTACCTCCCGGTTCAAGTGATTCTCCTGCCTCAGCCTCCCGAGTAGCTGGGACTACAGGCACGTGCCACCATGCCCAGCTAATTTTTGTATTTTTAGTAGAGATGGGGTTTCACCATGTTGGCCAGGATGGTCTCCATCTCTTGACCTCGTGATCCGCCCGCGTCAGCCTCCCAAAGTGCTGAGATTACAGGTGTGAGCCACCGCGCCTGGCTAATTTTTGTACTTTTTTTTTTTTTTTTAGTAGAGACAGGGTTTCACTGTGTTGGCCAGGAAGTTCTCGCACTCCTGACCTCAGGTGATCCGCCCACCTCTGCCTCCCAAGGGGCTGGGATTACAGGCGTGAGCCACCACACCCGGCCTGGCTTGTGTATTTTTAAGATCTCAATGCCACTGGCTACTCCTGGTAAGCTTCCTTACTGATGGCTTGCAACTGGCCTAAATGATTTGACAGGACTTGCTTGATTACATAAAAAGGCCCCTGCTGAGAGTTCCTCCTTTGAGCTCTCCCACACCAAGATTCTTCACACAGACCCAGAGTCATGGCGTGGTCTGTGCAAATAAGGGAGACAGCACATGGAGTGTCTCTTGGCTTTCTAGTGCTTCCCTGAACTCTCTTTCTCTTGCTGTGCTGTACCCTTTGCCTTTCAATAAAAACCTTGACATGAATACGCTCAGTGAAGTTTGGTAAGTGCTGTCAACTCTCTGAACTGGGAAAATCTTTGTAAAACTATAGCATAAAGAAGGGTGGTGATGTCCTATATACTTGCAAGATTCTTGCATTCTATGTGAAACGATATATTAGCTCTAAATAGGTGATGAGTAACCAAAAATGTACATTATAATTATTCGAGTAACCACTAAAAATACAAAGAGGTCTAACTACAAAGTCAACATATAAGTTAAAATAGGCCAAGTGTAGTGGTTCACACCTGTAAGTCCAGCATTTTGGGAGGCTGAGGCAGGAGGTGGATCATGAGGTCAAGAGATCAGACCATCCTGGCCAACATGGTGAAACCCCGTCTCTACAAATATACAAAAAAATTAGCCGGGTGTGGTGGTGGGCGCCTGTAGTCCCAGCTACTCGGGAGGCTGAGGCAGGAGAATGGTGTGAACCCGGGAGGCAGAGCTTGCAGTGAGCTGAGATCGCGCCACTGCACTCTAGCCTGGGCGACAGAGTGAGACTCTGTCTCAGAAAAAGAAAAAAAAAAAATAAGCTGGTGGTATGTGCCTGTAGTCCCAGCTACTCAGGAGGCTGAGGCAGGAGAATTGCTTGAACCTGGGAGGCAGAGGTTGCAATGAGCTGAGATTGCACCACTGCACTCCAGCCTGGCAACAGAGCAAGACTCCATCTCAAAAAAAAAATTATAAATAAAATAAAATAAAATAAAATGGAATTTAAGAAAATTCAAAGCAAAGGAACACACATACATACACACAATCTCCCTAACTGTAAAAAACTGTAAGCCTAATGATAGGGCATAAAGTAATAAGTGAAAGATTGCTTTTCTGCCCCTCTCCACAAATATCAAAGAATAACGAGGGTGACAGCTTGTATCCTTCCAGATAGTTGTGCATGTGTCATATATATGTATATACAGATGTAGAGTTTTTCAACAAATATAGATTCTTTTGTGGCTGGCTTTTTCATATGAATCAATAATATATGAAGGTCAAATTCCAGTGTCATAGAGATCTACCTCATTCTATTTAGCGGCTGCATGACGTTTCATGGAATAAATGTACTGAAATTTGCTTATCCATTCCCTTATTGATAGATATGTAGGTTGTCTTCAATTGTTCACATTGTATTTCTTTCTTATTGCTGCTGTAACAAATTACTACAAATGCAGCATCTTGAAACAGCATAAATGTATTCTTTTACAGTTCTGGAAGTCAGAAGTCTGAATTCAGTTTTACTGGCTTGAGGTCAGGCTGTCGGCAGGGCTGGGTCCTTCTAGGGCTCTCAGGGGAAAATCTGTTTCCTTGCCCTTTTCACCGTCTAGTGGTTCCCTGCAGCCCTTGGCTTGTGGCCCTCTCATCCATCTTCCGAGCCTAGCACTCCAGTCTCTGCTTCTGTCATCACATCGCCTTCTCTTGAGAAAGATCCCAGGCTGGTATTTAAATTGCCTGTTGGCAGGAACTTTGCCTGTTTTCCCCTACTCCCACTGCACGTGGCATGTGTCATTGTTCTCAATGAGTACTCCATAAATACTTTTTTAATTAAATAGCTAATGGGTGGTTCCAAAAATTACGTAAACAGTTGACGTGAATTATTAGAATCCTGAGATTTTCTGTACATCCCACTGTCACTTTCTTCCTGCATTTTCCGTTGAAGAAGATGGTCCTGGGTGAGCAGGTATGGGTTTGCCATTACAGGAGCCTGTGACATTCAGGGATGTGGCCGTGTTCTTCAGCCAGGACGAGTGGTTGCACCTGGACTCTGCCCAGAGGGCCTTGTACCGGGAGGTGATGCTGGAGAACTACAGCAGCCTGGTCTCACTGGGTAAGAATTTTTGCCTATGACGAAGAATCTGTTATAGGAACGCCTCACAGGTCCATCTTTGGGGTTCCGAGCCTGTGGTCTTGTACCCTACTGAGCCCCTCAGAAAGGCTGAATTGCTGTAGAGTGGAAAGTGTACATCTTTGTTGTGATGCCCTTCTTGCTATCTGTTTCTCTACCCTCCACTCTCCCTCACATCCTACCGCCAATCAGTTCCCTCCTTGGAGTAGGCCAATGACTAGAGATCCCAGTTTAGATTCTGAAAAACACATAGGGACCCCCCATCTTAGAGGCCTTCATTGTCAGGGCCCTATAATGGTTCTGAACTGAGACCTTCCCCGGCCATTGACAGCTCCAGTGCCCCTGCGAAGTGCTTGTGCTGCCTTGTCTGCCTCTCAGGGCTTGCCTTCTTTGCTGTGTTGGTTCAGAGTGAGTAGTAGGTCAGTTCTAGGATTGGTCTTCATGCTATTTGTTCAAACTTCATTTGCTTCCTCATGAGCAGGGATTCCATTTTCAATGCCAAAGTTGATTCATCAGTTGCAGCAAGGAGAAGATCCCTGCATGGTGGAAAGAGAAGTCCCTTCAGATACCCGTCTAGGTAAGTGAGAGGCTGGGAAATGGGCACAAGGGGTTCTTTATAGACAAGTAGGTCACAAAGAGGCAGTTCTTGGGAAACTCTTGGAAATACTGAGTCCTCTTGAGATGCTCAGGCCAGTTGTATTTTGTTTGAGTTGTATAGGTTAAAGTACACACAATTACCTAATTGCAGTTATCTAATGTTAACCTATTTTCTATCATGGATTGATGAAAGGAAATCAGGTTTTAACAGAGAGTAGTTTAGAGTCACCTCGAACTAAATCTTTTCACCCAGAATCAAAGCTGAGCTTGGGGCTTGGGCATTTTTCAGGACTTTAAGACATACTGACTTCAAATCTCCTGCAGATTTTCATTATTCTCAAGAGATTCCTACAAAGAGAGTGCAGTCTTTTGGTTGCAGCTTATTAGAAGAAATGAATATGTCTCTCTTTGTGATAAAATAAAAAGAGGAAAATAAAAAGAAAGGTAATATGAAAAAAATTGTTATTCTTCCAATCACCAGGGACAGATTGTTGCACAGGGGTGATTTACTCCATGTTTTCCTCTTTTTTATAATGAGCATCTTAAACTTCGATCACATAGAATCATCACAGTCATGCTGCAGGGCTGTTGTGATTTTCAAAACCTGAATGTCCCCCCACTCCTTTTTTTTTTTTTTTTTTTGAGATGAGTCTCTGTCACCCAGGCCGGAGTGCAGTGGTGTGATCACAGCTCACTGCACTCTCCACCTCCCAGGCTCAAGCGATCCTTTCACCTTAGCCTCCTCAGTAGCTGGGACCACAGGTACATGCCACCACGCCTAGCTAATTTTTTGTATTTTTGGTAGAGACGGGGTTTCACCATGTTCTCCAGGCTGGTCTCAAACTCCTGAGCTCAGGTGATCCACCTGCCTCCCAAAGTGCTGGGATTACAGGTGTGAGCCACCGCGCCCGGCCTGTCTTCTCTTTAACAGACTGTTTCCCCCTTCACAGACTACAATATAAAATCACAGTCACATGAAGTAAAGAAATTTAAGAAAACCAATCCAAATATTTAAAAGATTATCGGGCATAGAGTTTCAGAGAGAGCATGGGGAGAAAACGTAATGAAAGGGACATGTGAGTAAGAAGGAGAAGGTGGACAGGCTGCCTACTTCATTGCCTGGTATATGCATAGTGGAAAATGATGACAGAGTGGAGTATCCCATGGTATTCAGCGTGGGCTTATCATTTGGCATTTTTCTGTATCCTCATATCTTCTACTCAGCCTGTTCTTCTGCATCTAACTTTACTATATCCAGGTGGAATCGCTTCATTTTCATTGTTAATTTGTCCAGTGTATTCTCCCATGCCATTCCTTAACCTGTTTACCTCACTTTCCTTTATCCCATCCTGTTCTTCCCAAGATTCAAGTCAGCATTTGAAATCTGATTGTATCACTCTTCTTTCATATATACTGTTACCAGTTTTTTTGTCTCACCGATACATCAGTTTGTTTCTTCCAGCAGAGGAGGCATTAATTCTTCTGATTCATTTTAGGTTTCAAGACTTGGCTTGAAACAGAAGCATTGCCTCATAGACAGGACATTTTTATAGAAGAAACATCTCAGGGAATGGTAAAGAAAGAATCCATTAAGGATGGTCACTGGGACATTAACTTTGAAGAAGCTGTGGAATTTGAGAGCGAGATAGAAGAAGAGCAAGAGAAGAAACCTCTTAGACAAATGATAGATTCGCATGAGAAAACCATCAGTGAAGATGGAAACCATACAAGTCTTGAATTGGGGAAAAGCTTATTTACAAATACAGCTCTTGTCACACAACAGAGTGTTCCTATAGAAAGGATACCCAATATGTATTATACATTTGGGAAAGATTTTAAACAGAATTTTGATCTCATGAAATGCTTCCAGATTTACCCAGGAGGAAAACCTCACATCTGTAATGAATGTGGGAAGAGCTTCAAGCAGAATCTGCATCTTATTGAACATCAGAGAATTCATACAGGTGAGAAACCCTACAAATGTAATGAGTGTGAAAAAACCTTCAGCCACAGATCATCCCTTCTTTCTCATCAGAGAATTCATACTGGAGAGAAACCTTACAAGTGTAATGAATGTGAGAAGGCATTTAGCAACAGTTCAACCCTTATCAAACATCTGAGAGTGCATACTGGAGAGAAACCGTATCGATGTAGGGAATGTGGTAAAGCCTTTAGCCAGTGTTCAACCCTCACTGTACATCAGAGAATTCATACTGGAGAGAAACTCTATAAATGCGGCGAATGTGAGAAGGCCTTCAACTGTAGAGCAAAACTTCACAGGCATCAAAGAATCCATACAGGTGAGAAACCCTATAAATGTAGTGAGTGTGGGAAGGGATACAGCCAGTTTACATCTCTAGCTGAACATCAGAGGTTTCATACTGGAGAACAACTGTATACATGCTTGGAATGTGGGAGAACCTTCACACGTATTGTAACCCTTATCGAACATCAGCGAATTCACACTGGACAAAAACCTTATCAGTGCAACGAATGTGAGAAAGCCTTCAACCAGTATTCATCCTTTAATGAACATCGGAAAATTCATACTGGGGAAAAACTTTATACATGTGAGGAATGTGGGAAAGCCTTTGGTTGCAAATCTAACCTTTATAGGCATCAGAGAATTCATACTGGAGAGAAACCGTATCAGTGTAATCAGTGTGGAAAGGCCTTCAGCCAGTATTCATTTTTAACCGAACATGAGAGGATCCACACTGGAGAGAAACTGTATAAATGTATGGAATGTGGGAAAGCCTACAGTTACAGATCAAACCTTTGTAGACACAAAAAAGTTCACACGAAAGAGAAACTCTATAAGTGGAAGGAATATGGGAAACCTTTCATCTGCAGCTCCTCACTTACCCAGTATCAGAGATTTTTTAAAGGAGATAAAGCCTATGAGGTTTAGTTCATCTCTCAAATAATCCAAGACTTCTCACTGGGGAATAAGGGAATAATAAATAGGGTACAAACTCCTAATAGATTTGTCTTTTTTACTTCTCCTGAAGGAAATATGTTAGTTGCCACTAAGTCATGATAAAATTGATCAGTGAGACTATGAAGAGCACTGACTTGTTAAATTTTAAAAGAACCATAAATTCTAAGGTATCTAAAAACCTATGAGTATTTAATTCATAGAAAAAATGTAAAAGGTCTTTTTAAAAATCATGAAAAATAGTTGAATATACATTTTGTTTCTCTCATAAGACCATATTCCCTTTAAAAGAGTAAGCTTCAATATGTGAATTTTCTTTTAAAAACAGTCACTGAGTTAATAATGTAAATAAGTGTGTGGCCTTCTTTAAAATAGCTGGCTAACATAGGAGGCACTTCTTTTCATAAAGAGAAGCTAAACATAAAAAGGAATTTTAAATTTAACTCTTCACATGGAAATAATAAAGCTCTTTATATGAGCTGTCCCACCAGCAACTTATATATGTAAACATACATATATACACATATGCATGTGTGTGTGTAAACATAAAAGTCCTTTATTATTAAAAAATGTAGTTTTATTGATTTAGAATTTAGTTCTTAAAATCTTGCCCAAAGGTAGACTCTCTTTCTTTTACTTTCTTCCATTATTTCTTAAATTGATGTGGTTTTATATAACTGAACAGAGTACTATTACAGTACCGTAGAAGGCGGATTAACTGAAGCAGCTGGAAAGACTGTCAAGCACATACTTTGTTATCTGTTGCAGAAGGGATGTATTTGGCAGAATCTCAGGCTGCATGTCTGGTAGCTCATTAGAGCCAGGAGAGATTTTAGTTTAATTATAGCCTTTCATTGTACTAACGAAGGATTTGAACTTAGTGAACAGAGTCAAGACTAGAATCTAGGTCTTTGGTTCTGGTGTTTTGTGATCATTATAGGCTCGTTTCCAACCTGAGGTCCCAAGAGTACTATTTGTTTTGTAGCCTGGTTAGACATAGTTGCAGTAATTTAAAGTTACTGTGTTATCTTTAAGGGCTTCCTCTCACCTTAATCTTAATAATTGACTCACAACTATATTCTTTTTTCTTATGAGTCCCTAATTATGCCTGCTTTTGTTATAATTGTACTTAAATCCTTAAAGCTAGCTGAGGTCCAGATAGTGTAATTGCTTTTGGAGGCTTCACATATAAGGTTGCCTTCTTATTACACATATTTTAGGAATTAATTATTTTATGGAAAGTTATATATGAAGAGTTTATTATTAAGCATTCCTTTCATCAGTTTAAATGTTTAATTCCTCCCAGGCGTTTTTCCTCCAATTTTATATTTGATTTTTCATTCAATTCACAGTTGGTATCATTAAAAAAAATTCTAATACAATTAGCTAGACCTTCTGAGAAAAATGTTAGAATTAAACTCAAGCAGTCAGTATAGTATATTTCTTAACCGACTGGTTTTAGCTTATCAGAAAGTAATTATTTTATGTATTTAAATACATTTACAAAGAAAATGAGGCTTTTAAACAGACCTCACTATTTAACATTGTACCCAGTAGTGGTGAGCATGCTTAGTACCCAAATTTTGGTTTCTAAATGCCATTCCCCACTAAAAGGAACCAGGGTTCCTTGGAGAAATGGCTGATTCCATGTTTGGAGCAGGGGAAGTGGGTGGTGTGGCTAAAATACTTTTTATTAAGAAAATAAAATAAAAAGCAAGATAGTATTTGAAGACTAATGGGGTAATGTCAGAAGGGAACAGGCGCCAAGTTGAAGGTATTCTCACTGGCCAAATTTAGGACAACTTAGAATAATCACTCTTACTGGTGATAATACTAAGAAGGAAAAGAAGTTCATAATGATGAAAGTAGAGAAAAAAGAAAACTCTATACAATTATTTGAAGAATGTCTTCTTTTAAATGTACATGGAATGATAGATTTGGAAAAATTACCATTTTACAACCCTTAATGTAATTAAATCTGGCAAAAATCGATGGTAAAACCCATTAAGTGGAAAAAATTTTAAGGAACTTTGTTTACAAGGTGTCAGAACATCACAGATATCTATTGCAAAAGAATTGCCTTTACAGTGAGATTTGGCTATCAAACTGCATTTCACTACTTCTGGAATAAGCCAGCATTATGTGGCTCTTGATGGGATGCGGTATGAAGCATGTGTGATCATCCTTGATGTACTGCCGAAAATGTTTACCTCAAATTTAATTAAATCTTTTGTCTAGACTTATCTTCCTGTTTAAAGAAATACAGGAATAGAGGAACAAGTTGAATTACACAGTATGGAAATAAATAGACAAGTCCAGAGTTGGTATAGGACAACTGGACTTTTTTTTATATATTTATTTTAAAATGGTTTTCTTAAATTTATTTTTTTAAACATAACACGAGGAAGCTGTTAAAACTGGTGTAATAGCTCAAAAGAACTAAGTATTCCAGATTTCGGGAGGGATGAAGAGGGAGATATTCAGAAACCTTCACCAGATTCCTCCCAACTTGATCATAGTGGATTAATGACGTGCTTTGTGGATGTGGTTAGTCAATGACACCAGCTTGACGGATCTTTCTTTCTGCACCAAACCCCATTGAGTTATCTGGTCCCCTTGGCTGACGAAGAGCCATTAGGCGAGGATCACTGGCATCATCCAGGGTGATGTTCTTCAAGCGACTGACCAACCGATCAGGTCGAGGAGCTGCAACAGCCTTGGGGCCCTCACAGACTCGCCAAACATTCCAGGCACTGCACTTGCCAGTGCGCTGATGAAGAATCACGGAGAACTCCACCTCATCTCCTGCCTGGAGCTCAAGGCCATCCTCAACTTCTTTCATATGGAAAAAGAGCTTCTTGCTATCCCCTACTTCATAGTTAATGAAGCCAAACTGATCTTGCACACATTCCACTGGCCCTACGCAGGGGTGTGATGTTGTAAGCCATAGTTTGTGCATTTTGGCCCTGGTCTGGACTTTTCAAAAAGCAAATGTAGTAAAACAAAAAGTGGTCTCTGCTAGATTAAGACAAGAGACATAACCAAATGGAAAGTGTGATCCTTTATTAGCTTCTGATTCATAAAAAAACCTATAAGAGACATTTGGGGGGATATTTGGGGAAATAGGAAGATGGAATGGGTAGTAGATAATGTGGTATATTTGATTTTTCTAGAAGTGATAATTGAGTTACGTAGGATAATGTTCTAATTCTTAGGAGATGCATGCAGAAGTTTTTTTTTTAAGTTTTGAAAAGTCATGATGTTGACAGCATATTTTCAAATAAATATGTACAAAATCAGTCAATTGTTTTTTGTGGTGGATCTATATGTGGTGGATGTTCATTGGTCATTTAAAACATTTTTCTATGTGTGTCAATTTTTAATAAAAATGCAAAAAGTGATTGGATAAAGAAGTGATGAATATTAATCTTTCAATCAGAATTCTCCATTTATATTCTTAGGAAGTTCCTGTTTGAGAGTTTATCCTCCAGGGATGTAATCATTGGCAATAAAGTAACTAGGTGGTACCAGTTCTCCTTTAAATGGAATGAGCATGTTCCACTTTATCTCTCATGCTAAATGTAACTAAGGCATGGAGCAGCTGTCTGGGGACCCTCAAAAGTAATGATTGATAACAACAGGCAGATTTGGGAAGGAAACTAGAATTTGAAACAAGATCATTGTGGCGCTCCTGGGCATTCCTGTGGTGAGGACAGAGATGGCTGAGCAGGCATCTAAACCTCAGAGTTAGGAACCCTTCACTCTGGGCAGAGGATTTGTGAGCCAAAAAGGGTTAGGAGACTCCCCATTGCTTTTCTTCCCTATCTATCTTCCTGCTACTTGGACCTGGAGGTGATGTATCCATGAGGTGTGTAGCAGAGAGGAGAACCTAAACCCTTGGATTTCTAACCTGAAGATCAGGAAGAGGAAGTGGCTCCTGAGAGGTGGAAGGTGTCAAGGTGGTGACAAAGATAAGGAAGGTCAAGAAAGTGATTTCATAACAGTTGTTTATGCAATCTGGGGCTCTCCCCTGGTCTATACATATATAGGTCTGACCCGATAATTGTTTGGGTCTGACACTGGGCAAAGATCCAAATAGCACTGAGAATACTTAGAAAACTGGACTGACATTAGAACCACAGCCCACAGGAGATGGATTGGAACTGGTCACCAAGACTTAGCCAGTTAAATTGCCTGCTGGAAAAAATACCCTAACATTTTCTGGAAGAATTAAATACCCAGAGGCTCGTAATATTCAAAATGTCCAAGATGCAATGCAGAATCACGTGAAATACATGAGTCAGGAAATTTTCAACAATTCAAAGACAACAGACACTAACCCCAAGATGACACAGATGTTGGAATTATGAGACAAAGACTTTAGATATTATAACACTGTTTCAGAAAGTGACCATTCCAGAAATTGATGGAAATGTCAAATTTTTCAGCAGGAAAATAGTAATTTGACTCACTTCTAATAAATAGAATATGATAGAAGTGATGTGATGTCACTTAAAATATTTGGTTATGAGAAGACTGTGGCTTCTGCATAGGCATGTGCTCTCTTGAATCACTTGTCCTTTCAGAAACCAGTTGCCTTATCGTGAGGACACGGCCTGTGGAGAGTTCCATGTAGTAAGTAACTGAAGCCCATGGCCCACAGCCAGCAACAAACTTTGGCCTTCTAGCAACCATGTGAGTGAGCTTAGAAGTGGATCCTCTCTTGCCTGAGCCTTCAAATAGGACTGCAGCCACAGCCAACTACTTGCCTGTAACCTCATGTGAGACGCTGAGCCAGAAAGACCTAGCTAAACCACTCACTTCTGGCTTCTTAACCCCCAGAAACTCTGGGTTAGTACGTGTTTTAACTGGTAGGTTTTGGGGTAATTTGTTATGCAGCAACAGATAACTGATACAGAACTTGGTACTTGGAGGTGGGCAGCTGCCATAATGAAAACCCAAAATATGGGAGGGGTTTTGGAACTTGGCAGTGGGTGTTAAGTAGGCATGCGCTGGTAAAAACCTCAAGTGCTTTGAAGAAACTATAGCAGCATCATGTCTGACAAGGCTGTAGATGAGGACTTCTAGAAGAGTGAGGTAAATGTTATTGGAAAACTGGAGGAAGGAAGAACTTACGTAGTGGCAGACTGAAAGTAAAACATGTGCCTAATATGATCTCACTAGAGAGATTTCCTGACCGAGTGTTGCAGGTGCCATCTGGCTTCTTGATTATGGTAACATATAAGGAGAGATTAAAAACTATAGGAAAGACCATTAAACAAAAAGGATCCAGGGCTTCATGGTTTTGGAGATAATCTCATCAAGACAACAGGATTTGCTAAAATTAAGAAATCACTTCTCAGCAAAGATCAAATTTAGAGAACTCCTTGGAAAACACCCTCCAATGATGAAGCTCCTTATAGTATTTAATAAAAATTAATAAAAAGTTGACAAAGATGTGGAAAAATTGGAACCTTCACACACTGCTGGTGGGAGTATAAAATGGTGCAGCCTCTTTGGAAAACAGACTGGAATTTACTTCAAAGATTAAATATAGAGTTACCATGTGACTTAGCAATTCCACTCCTAAATTTATACCCAAGAGAAATGAAAACAAGCATTTATATATGTACATGAATGTTCATAGCAGCATTATTCATAATAGAAAGTGGAGACAACCCAGTGTTCATCAGCTGATGAGTGAGTAGGCAAAATGTGGCACATTTGTATAATGAAATGTTGTTTGTCAATAAAAAGAAATAAAACACTGATAAATGCTACAACATGGATCAACCTTGAAAACGTGCTGGGTGAAGGAAGCCAGTAACAAAGGACCACATATCGTATGGTTCCATTTATGTGTGATTTTCAGAATAAGCAAATCTGTAGAGACAGAAAGTAAATTATTGATCTCCAAGGGCTTTAGAGAGTTGGAGAAAATGTGGGGTGACTGCTAATGGATGTGGAGTTTCTTTTTGGAATGATGAAAATTTTCTAAAATCATGCTAATTATCGCGCAACTCTGAATATATACTACAAGGCTTTTGGACTGTACACTTTATATGGGCGAATTGCATGGTGTGTGAGTTCTATCTCAATAAAGTTTATTGTAAACAACCTATTGCAAATGCTTATCTGTTAATGCCAATCTGTAATAAAATTTTATATAGTTCATCTTTGGAAATGTTCTTTCACACCGATAGCATTGTTGGATGCTGGTATCTGTCCATAAGCATATTATTTCAATTGGGCATATCCATTGCTTGGAAGTCATTTATAGAATTTAGTTAGATTCTTTGGATGTTTGCCTTTCAGCACACTGTTACGTTGCAGATTAAGAAGGGTTTGGGTGGATGCTCCTCAGTTGTACTGTTAAGTGAATTTTGAAATATGTATATTTCTTTTGCATTTGCATTAGGATCTAAAAAATGCTGTTGGAACTGGAGTTTGTGCTCAGAATCCATATGTGTGGAAAATATTTGTGAGAATGGAGATATCTCTTCTTATTTTAAACTTGGACAGCATGTGAAATATATAAAGCATTTTCACATTACTTGCGATTCAAATATTAGTTGTCATTGAAATGACTTTGCAGCAGAATAAGCTTTGCACATAAGCTCTGATTTGCCTTGAAATGTGAGGTTGAATTCATTAAGAAACATCAAGTTTGCAGCAAAAGCTAGTTTCTAAAGGCATCCCATGTTTAATGATAGTGGTTGAACAAAGTTCTTCTCATTCAGAAAAACTTCACCCTCAGCCCTGAGCTTAAAAAATTGCAGGCAAACTTTATTACTGTTAAGTCACTGAACTGCTGTGTGGCAGAGCTAGTCAGGATATTTGACTTCTATTCCTGGAAAAAAAAGTCACAGAGCTAACAAAAGTCCATAAGAGCAAATGAAGTTCACTTTTGACATTACTTGTTCAGCAAGAGAGACTTACATATTTCCTGCATACTACCTGCTGAAGAATAACCACAGGTTTTAAACACCTTAAACTTTTGCAAGCTTTGTGAACTTCTCTAACTAAGCCTCGGAAAAAGTTCTTTAGGCCAGGCACAGTGGCTCACGCCTGTAATCCCAGCACTTTGGGAGGCCAAGGCTAGTGGATCACTTGAGGTCAGGAGTTCAAGACCAGCCTGGCCAACATGGCAAAACCCCCATCTCTACTAAAAATACAAAAATTAGCTGGGCATGGTGGCGTGTGCTGTAATCCCAGCTACTCAGGCAGCTGAGGCACGAGAATCGCTTAAACCCAGGAGGCGGATGTTGCAGTGAGCCGAGATCGCGCCACTGCACTCCAGCCTGGGTGACAGAGTAAGACTGTGTCTCAAAAAAAAAAAAAAAAAAAGTTCTTTACGTATTTACATATTTTTACTACCAGCAGTTGGAACACATTTTTGCAGATTCCACTTTGGGTTTACTAAATTAGTATTTTCTTTAAAAATATTCTTGCTTTTGATTGGTTCCACACAATCTATTTATAGAGGTCAATTATTAAGTAATTTCAAATGATATTAACTATCAAATCCACGACAACTGAGTAGTATCACTCACATCATTGCCTCGTCCAGAGCCAAGGGAAACCACTTAAAATCATTTGCCGTATTGACTATTGACACTGCTCGCAATGTTCTCAACTCTTCAAATGAGTAATGTCACTGGTCTGAAAATGCCTCCAGATGAGTCGGGAGTATTGAGGGCTCCCTTTTGTTTCCCTTCACTTGAGGATTAGAGTTCTGTATTGCACGTTGTCCATTATCTGGAAAAAAAATATTTTTTTCTAGATGTACGGTTTCTTTCTCTTGGATAGGCTAGTCTAGTAACAGTTTCTCAGTCATGGGTGGTAGTGTACATATACAGAAATAATCCTTAAATTACAATTTTGATAAATGCTATTAAGGAAAACTACAGGCTATTATAAGAGCATTCAATAGATATGTGTCTACTCCAGAGCATGGTATGAGGTTAGAGTGTGCTTTTTTGAGTAAGTATCATTAGGCAGAGATCTTGGGGCAGTTGAGAAACAGGACTCGTTGCAGGCAGACAGAAGAGTGCATAAGAAGGCGCTGTTCGTTTTTTTCCCATTCTTTTTCACCTTTGCATTCCAGTTTCTACAGACGTATCTTCAGGCTCACTGATTCTTCCCTTGGCTCTGTCTGGTCTACTGATGAGCCCACCAAAGGCATTCTTCATTTTGTTAGCATTTTTCATTTCCAGCATTTTCTTTTCTTTTTTAGAGTTTCCATTCTCTTTTTATATTACCCATCAATTATTGCATATTGTCTATGTATTCAGTTAGAGCCCTTAATATATTAATTATTGTTATTTTAACTTCGCCATCTGACAACTCCAAAATCTGTGTCATATCTGAGTCTGATTCAGATGCTTGCTTTATCTCTTCAGACTGTATTTTTTCTTGCCTTTTAGCATGTTGTGTAATTTTTTGTTGAGAGCTGAGCATGCTGTATCTGGTAATAGGAACTGAGGTAATCAGACTTTTACTGTGAGCTTTCATGTGAATCTCTAGGAGCAAGGCTGTGCTCAATGTTTGCTGTAGCTACAGGTGCCATAGGCATCAGTTCCCTCTAGTTTCCGTGTGTGTGTGTGTGTGTGTGTTTTGTTTTATTTATTGCTTTCCTATTGTCTTTGGGATCCCTAAGAATTCCTTCTTAAGTAGAGTATGTTTAAGAAGAATTGCTTCTTAAAGGGAGTCCTGCACCTCTCTTAGTTGCAATCCACTGTCATTCTTCTGGAGTCCTACTGATATAATAGTGCAGTGTTGAGGAGAGGAGGTATATAATAATCCATAATCTTACGAATAAATCTCAGGTTTTTCATGGGTTTCAGTCCCTGCGCTGTGTGATCTTCAGAGGCATTTGTTAGCTTTTTTTCCATTCCTCGGTGAGAGGGTGGAGCTGTCTAATTGCGTTTCTCCCAGGTCAGAAAAATTTCTAGTAAAGTATTGCTCTTGAGGGCAAGCCTTTGTTTCAGAGAACACCCTGGGCATATTTCAAAATGGTAACTTTCCCCAGGCATATTTCAAAATGGTTACTTTTCTCCTACCCCTGCCAGAAGCACAAAGGGATTTTTCTCTGATTTCACTGAGAACCCAGTGGGGTTCCTGGAGGTAAACCCCCATAAAACTGTGGCCCCAGTCTTACTCTCAAGCCAGTCCATGATCTGCCTCCCACAATGTGTCAGTCACCATGTAAGTGTTCCTACCAGTTACTGGCTCCAGAAGCTTCTGCTCCTGGTAAGCTGGTCTTGCCTGTGATTCTCTGTATCCACCTACTTCTCCAGTTTTCAGGGTGGCAGTGTGTCCTGTGACCTCAGCTATCTGATGGATCTAAGAGGAATCGCTGGTTTTCAGTTTGTTTACCTTTTTGCTTGTGGTGAGGATGTGAGTGATGCCTTCCAAGCTCTCTACATGTTTCTAAGCTGGAGCTGGAAGCCTCTCTCCTTAGCTGAGGGTTTGGAAGTGGTGGAAGGGTATATCTGATTAGTCTGCACTTCTTTCCATCAACTTCTCCTTGTAATTGGCTTAAAGGCTATGCTGTTAGATACAGCTGACGTCATCTAGCCTGGGCTTTTGCTGATAATGTCTGGGTAAATGTGGCAGACAGAGATCATCCCAAAGCAATGTGTGGGAGGAAGAAATGTATAAGCCATAAACTCTTCTCCAACGCCATCTTCTCATTGCAGTGTCTGGCTGCTCCAGACCTGAGTTTTGTAAAAAAAACAAAACAAAAAGACACAACACACACACACACACACACACCCCAAAATATTTTGCCACAGGCCAACTTGCACCAGTTCAAATCGGCTTTCTCAGGCATTCTCATAGTATTTATATTGATTCATCATATCAATAATCCCACCTCATTTTGGGAGGTTCTCCAGAGTTAATGTGGGGAGAGAGAAACTCATGCTATTTCACCATCTTGTATGGAAACCAATAGGTTTAAAATTAAACCTTCCTTGATTTCTGGGAATCTAACTTAGTGTGGCACTTCACCTTTTTATCCACAAATGGATATAGTCTACTGATATTGGGGTTAGGAATTTTGCATCCATGCCATTTTTTTTGTGTTTTCCTTCTGGTCCTTATCTAATTTTGCCATTAGAGTCATGACATCATGGAATAAATTGAGAAGTGCTTCCTTTCCCCACTATTAACTAGAAGAGTTTATATAACAGAATTATCTACTTCATGAATGGTAGCATTTGTCTACTAACATTCTAAGCCTGGTATTTTCTTTGTGGAAATATTTTAAATTTCAAATTTGATTCTTCTTTTTATGACTATAATTCTATCAGATTTTCTAGTTCTTCTTGTGTAAATTTTATTTTTCTAAGAATTTTTTCATCTTATTTCCATTTTTTGGCATGAACTTGTTTATATTATTTTTTTCATTAACCTTCTAACTTCTACTCCATGAATTTGTTTATATTATTTTTTCATTAACCTTCTGATTTCTACTCTTTCAATAGTTAAATTCTGTTCCTTCTTTCTTTCTTTCTTTTTTTTTTTTGAGACGGAGTCTCGCTCTGTCGCCCAGGCTGGAGTGCAGTGGTGCGATCTCTGCTCACTGCAAGCTCCGCCTCCCAGGTTCACGCCATTCTCCTGCCTCAGCCTCCCAAGTAGCTGGGACTACAGGCGCCCGCCACTACGCCCGGCTAATTTTTTGTATTTTTAGTAGAGACGGAGTTTCACCGTGTTAGCCAGGATGGTCTCGATCTCCTGACCTTGTGATCCGCTCGCCTCAGCCTCCCAAAGTGCTGGGATTACAGGCGTGAGCCACCGCGCCTGGCCAGTTCTGTTCCTTATTTCCAAAGTTTTTGTGTATGCATCTGTCTTTTATTCTTCATCAACATTACCAGAAGTTTGTAAATACTAAGTCAACTTTTGGCTTTGTTAATCCTTTATAAGTTTTTTTTATAATTAAATTCCATGCTTAATAAACTTGGCTTTTTATTTCCTTCTAATTTCTTTGGTTTTGTTCTATTATATAGCTCATTAATTAATTTTCAAACCTTTTTTCTAATTTTTGTATCAAGATTATAAGTACTTCCAAGCACTTTCCTGAGTAAATTTCATACTATTTTATTTTTCAGTCAGCTTTCTCAGATTGAATCACAAGTTTTGCTCTATGATATTCGGTTAGGAGTATTTTCTGTTTTGTTTTGGTCACATTAAAAAGTTTAGTGATATGCTTAGTTTGTTCAGGTTGTGCATATAGCATTTAATATGAGGAATATAATTTCATAAATTTTATTTCATTACAATTACAAACAGATAAAGAATTATGAAATAACATTTCCCTAAGTTAATTTACCTGTGAACACACTTTCAGTGATCAATGTGATATATCTGTAAGTCTTTAATTTTTCCTATGTTTTACTTGCTTTGCTTATATTTGTTGAAATATCATTTTATACCTGCATATAACAAAAGTTTGGGAAAAATCGGGCATGCTTTTTGTTTTCGATTTCATTTTTCTTTAATAATACACTTATTTATTCTTATTTCACAATTTTTAATTGGTATGTAATAACTATACATATTTTGGGGCTACATGTGGTATTTTGATACCTATATATAATGTGCAATGATCAAATCAGGGAAATTAGGACATCCATCACCTCAAACACTTACCTTTTCTTTGTGTTGGAAATATCACAATTCTTCTCTTCCTATTTTGAAATGTACAACACGTTACTGTTAACAATAATTTTCCTGCTGTACCATTTGAATACTAGAATTTATTCCATCTATTTAACTGTATTTTTATGCCCTTAACCAGCTTCTCTTCATCTTCTCCTACCCACTTCCCTTCCCAGCATCTGGTAACCACCATTCTAATCTATACTTCCATGAGATCCACTTTTTTAGTTCCCACATATGAGTGAGAATGTGATACTTGTCTTTCTGTGCCTGGCTTATTTTACTTAACATAGTGACCTCCAGTTCCATACATATTGATGGAAATGATAAAATTTTGTTTTTTATGGCTGAATAATATCCCATTGTGTATATGTACCATACTTTCTTTACCTGTTCATCCATTAGATTAGGTTGATTCCGTATCTTGGCTATTATGAATAGTGTTGCAATAAACATGGGCATGCTGATATCTCTTCCCTATAGAGATTTCCTTTCTTTTGGATACATATCAGCAGTGGGATTGCTGGAGCATATGGTAGTTCCATTTTTAGTTTTTTTGAGGAACCTCCATACCGTTTTCCATAATGGCTGTACTACTTTACATTCCTACCAACAGTATACGAGCATTCCCCTCTTTCTGCATCTTCACTAGAACTTTTTTTTCTGTCTTCTTGATAGCATTCTAACTGGAATGAGATGATATCTCACGTGCTTTTGGTTTGCATTTCCCTGATGATTAGTGATGTTGAACATTTTTTCATATACCTGTTGGCCATTTGTATGTCTTTTGAGAAATTTCTATTCAGGTCTTTCGTCCATTTTTAAAATTTAATTTAATTTAATTTGTCCCTCATCTTCTTTGTGATGGCATTTTTCCATCATTAAGTCAGATTGTTTCTTTTTTTGAGTTGTTTGTATTTTTTATTATTCTTGTTATTAATCCTTTGTCTGATGGAGAGTTTGCAAATATTTTCTCCCATTCTGTAGGTCTCTTCACTTTATTAATTATTTCCTTTGCTGTGCAGAAGTTTTTTAGATTGATGTAATTCCATTTTTGTTTTGCTTGCCTATGTATTTTTTATTTTTTATTTTTTTTTTGAGACAGAGTCTCACTCTGTCGCCCAGGCTGGAGTGCAGTGGTGCAATCTCGGCTCACTGCCACCTCTCCCTCCCAGGTTTAAGCAACTCTCCTTCCTCAACCTCCCAAGTAGCTGGGATTACAGGCACCCACCACAACATCCGGCTAATTTTTGTATTTTTAGTAGAGACAGGATATCACCATGTTGGCCAGGCCAGTCTCGAACTCCTGACTTCAAGAGATCCACCCACCTTGGCCTCCCAAAGTGCTGGGATTCTAGGCATGAGCCACAATGCTCAGCCAGTTGCCTATGATGTTGAAGTCTTACCCAAAAAATCTTTGCCCAGACCAATGTCCTATAATGCTTTCTCAGTGTTTTATTTTAGTTGTTTCATAGTTTTAGGTCTTATGTTTAAATCTTTAATCCATTTTGAGTTGATTTTTATATATGGTGAAATATGAGGATCTAGTTTTATTCTTCTATGTGTGGATATCCAGTTTTCCCAGCACCATCTATTAAAGAGACTGTCCTTTCCACAATGTGTGTTCTTGGCTTCTTAACTGAAAAGCAGTTGGCTGTAGATGTGTGGATTTATTTCTGGGTTCTCTATTCTGTTCCACTGGTCTATGTATCTGTTTTTATGTCAGTACCATGCCAGTACCATGCTGTTTTGTTTACTATTGCTTTGTAGTATAATTTGAAATCAACTAGTGTGATGCCTCCAGCTTTGTTCTTCTTGCTCAGGATTGTCTTAGCTATTCAGGGTCTTTTGTGGTTCCATATAAATTTTAGAATTGCTTTTTTTGTTTCTGTGGAGAATGTACTTGGTATTTTGATAGGGACTATATCTGTGGTTGCTTTGAGTAGTATAGACATTTTAACAATGTTAATTCTTCCAATCTATGAGCATGAAATATCTTTCCATTTTTTCGTGTCCTCTTTGGTTTCTTTCATCAGTGTTTTATAGTTTTTCTTGTAGAGATCTGTCACTTGTTTGGTTAAATTTATTCCTAGGTATTTTATTTTTTGTAGCCATTGTAAGTGGGATTGCTTTCTTGATTTTTTTTTCAGATTGCTGTAGCATATATAAACACTACTGATGTTTGTATGTTAATTTTGTACCCTGCAACTTTACTGAGTTCTTACATAAGTTCTAAGAGTTTTTTGGTGGAGTCTTCAAGTTTTTAAAAATATAAAATCACGTCATCTGCAAACAAGGGTAATTTGACTCCTTCCTTTCTAATTTGGATGCCCTGTATTTCTTTCTCTTGCCTAATTCCTCTGGCTATAATTTCCAGTACTATATTGAATAAAAATGGTGAAAGTGGGCATCCTTGTCTTATTCCATATCTTAGTGGAAAGGATTTCAGTTTTTCCCCTGTGTGGCTTACAGAAAACATCTTATAGATATAACAAGTTATTTTAAATAGATACCAACTTATCTCTGATCATACAAAAAGGAAAGAAACAAAGAAAAAACCTGTACACATTAACTCTCTTCCCCCATTTTGAATTTTTGATGTCACAATTTGCATTTTATATTGCCTATCTCTTAACAAATTGTAGTTATTTTAAATAGTTTTGTCTTTTAGTCTTCTTAGTAAATATATAAGTAGTTTACATATCATGATTATTACATTAGTATAACAATCATGTTAATGTCCTTTTCTTTTGGTTTGAAGAATCCCTTTAGCATTTTTTTATAGGTCCAATCTAGTAGCAATCAATTGCCCCAGCTTTTGTTTGTCTGGGAAAGTCTTTATTGCTCCTTCATTTCTGAAAGATAGCTTTTCTGGGTATAGAATTCTTGCTTGGCAGATTTTTTTCCCCCTTCAGACTGGAAATATATCTTCCTACTCCATCCTGGCCTGTAAAGTTTCTACTGCGAAGTCTTCTGCTAGGAATATTTGATCTCTCTTACATGTTATTTGCTTCTTTTCTCTAGCTACTTTTAGAATCCCCTCTCTATGTTGGACCTTTGAGAGTTTATATGTCTTGGAGAATTCTTATTTGGGTTGAATCTGATTGCTAACCTTTGGTCTTCCTGTACCTGGATATTTGTATCTTTCTCCAAGTTTGGAAAGTTTTCTATTATTATTTCTTTAAATAAGCTTTCTACCTATATTTCTTCCTCAGTTCCCTCTTTAAGTCCAATAATCTGAATATTTGCTGGTTTGATGTTGTCTTATAGATCCCCTAAGCTTTCTTTATTCCTTTTCATTATGTTTTCTTTCTCTCTTCCATGTATTTTCAAATAGTCTGTCTTTGAGCTCACTGATTCTTTCCTATGTTTGATCAGTTCTGCTGTTGATGTTCTCTATTGAAATTTTCATAGTATTTTTCAACTCCAGGATTTCACTATTTTTTTCTTTTTTGAGATGGAGTCTTGCTCTGTTGCCCAGGCTGGAATCCAATGGCATGATCTTGGTTCATTGCAACCTGCACCTCCTGAGTTGAAGCGATTCTCCTGCCTCTGCCGCCTGAGTAGCTGGGATTATAGGTGTGCGCCACCATGCCTGGCTAATATTCATGTATTTAGTAGAGACAGAGTTTCACCATGTTATCCACGTTGGTCTTGAACTCCTGACCGCAAGTGATCCACCAGCCTTGGCCTCCCAAAGTGCTGGGATTTCAGGCATGAGCCACTGTGCCTGGCTGATTTCACATTTAAAAAAATTTTTGTTTTAATCTTTCTGTTAAATTTGCTGGTACATTTCTGAATTAATCCTATGTGTTTTCCTAAAGTTTGTTGAGCTATTTAGAACAGCTATTTGGAATTCTTTTTTTTTTTTTTTTTTTTGAGACAAGAGTCTCACCTCTGTCACCCAGGCTGGAGTGCATGGAGTATAGTGGGGCTATCTCGGCTCACTGCAGCCCCCGCCTCCTGGGTTCAAGTGATTCTTCTGCCTCAGCCTCCCGAGTAGCTGGGACTACAGACGTGCACCACCACACCCGGCCAATTTTTGTATTTTTAGTAGAGATGGGGTTTCACCATGTTGGCTAGGATGGTCTCGATCTCCTGACCTCGTGATCTGCCCACCTCGGCCTCCCAAAGTACTGGGGTTACAGGTGTGAGCCACTGCGCCCAGCCTGGAATTCTTCATCTGAGACATTAAACATCTCCGTCACTTTGGTCTGCCTCTGGCACCTTGTTTTCTCTGTTTGGTTAGGTCATATTTCCTTGAATGTTTTTGAGCTTGTGGATGTGCAACAATGTCTGTGCATTTAGGGACTGAAGATTTATTTTAGTCTTCACAGTCTGGCCTCATTTGTGCCTGCCTTTCTTCAGAGGGCCTTCCAGGGATTCTAAGCCCACTATTGAGTTCCCTGAGCCTGTGACCACTGTACCCATCTCAGCACTGGAAGATGCTCTATGCCCAGGCTTGCTGTGAGTCTCATGAGGACTTTGAGGTTTTGAGTCCCAGATGGACCTGGGGAAGACCCAAGGAATGGATATACTGGGGCTGTGTGGGAATGCTAGCCAGGGACCTGGGTCTAGAAGACTGTACTGTAGGCTCAGATGGGTGTGCCTCCTCGCAGATCTGAGTCTAGAAGACTGTACCGTAGGCTCAGATGGGTGTGACTCCTAGCAGGTCTTTGCATAGGTGGAATGGGTTCCTTACTGCAGCAAGAGGAGCTGGAGTTGAGACTGGGTCCCCTTGGAATCTGCTGTGGGACAAAGGCTGGAGAGCCCATTATGTTGGCCCAGATAGGTGAGCATCTCCCAGCAGATCTTGGAACAGATGAGATAGTTCTCTGATTGCAGTGGGAGGGGCTGGAGCTGAGACTGGTTCCCCTCAGGATCTGTTGTGGGATAAGATTGGCAAGCCTGTCAGGGAGGCTCAGACTCCTGGGATTGAGGTATGAGTGAGTCTCCCTCTGGGTTCTTGTGTGAGCAACTCTGAGCTAGGACCTACATGGGAGTGATGGGGACTGGAGCTGAGCCACAAGGCAACTTTGAGGTTTACTTCTAAGATGGAGGTGACGAGGCAGATGCCTTTCCACCAAGGCACTAGGGTACACAATTCCTTCTGGATCCTTTAACAGATGGTTTTGGTTGCAGGTTCAAAGTCAAACAGTACGGTAGCCAAAGCCCCTTGGGGGACTGGGCCATTTCTGGGCTTGAACCCAGGAACAAGATTGGTGGATCAGCCAACTGGTGTTAGTCTGCACTCTCAAAATAATCCTCCAAGATCTTGGGCTCCACCAATATTTCACAAACTCCTATCTGAATCCTGAGGCAGAGAGACTTTTGATTCTGGATAGGCGCAGAATTCTTGTTGTTGTGGGGAGATGTGAGCAGGTTACCTTCTATTCTGCCATCTTGGTGACCAGAATTTTCTAATTTTCAATGTTTTTTTGACCTGTGATTTATTTAGAGGTATGATTTTTAAATTTCAAAAATATATTTTAGCTAAATTTTAAAATATTGATTTCTAATTTAATTTTGTAGTTAAGTTACATTAAGTAAAAAATCATTTCAATTTATTATTATTCTTTAATTGTCCAATATGTTGTCAGTTGTCATAAATATTTTGTATGTGTTTGAAAAGAATGTGAGTTGTTCAATTGTTGGAGGCTCAGAGATATATGTGTTTTCCTTAGATCAAGCTTGTTTGTTGTATTATTCAAATTATATATTATTATTTTTTCTGCTGAGCTATCAATTACTGAGAGACATGTTAAACTTTTTCCCTAGGATGGAGGCTTTGTCAATTTCTCCTTGAGGTTATGACAACTTTTGATATATTAACCAGGTTAATTGAACTTTGATATCTTTATAATATTTATTTCATGACCCTTGTCTATCCAGTAATTTTTTTTTGCCTGAAAATCAAAAGCCCTGTATATACAGAATTATGGTGATATATATTAGAAACACTGTAGTTTAAATTGCTTTAGAAATAAGGAAGAAACTGCCACATTTGGGAACTTTGCTAGGAATTTAAATGCCTATTCTCTTTCACCACTAAAACTTTGTGTTACGGGTTTGTCACACATTATTGGAAATGGCACTTAGTCTAATTCCAATTGTTAGAAATAGACAATTTTATATTAAAAGTTGAAATATAGGTTCCAGAAATTTCTGATTTGATAATTTAGGCCAAATATCCTGCTGAAAACAGCTAAAAAGGCAAACGGCTGAGCAAGAAAAAAAAAATGGCTGAAAGGTGAGGAGGGGATTGGAATTCAGAGAGGCGAGCCATAGCCACTAGAAAACTTAAACAATCATATGAACCAACTTGACCTAACTGACACCCCCAGAGCACTTTAGCCAACAACAGCAGACTACGCATTATTTTCAACACATACAAACCACATACCAGACCATTTACAAAGTCTCAATACATTTAAAAGGATTGAAATAACACAAAGTATGTTTTTCTGGCCACAATGATAGTAAATCAAACACAGGAATAAAACGGGCCCAGGCACAGTGGCTCACGCCTGTAATCCCAGCACTTTGGGAGGCTGAGGCAGGTGACTTACTTGAGGTCAGGCATTCGAGACCAGCCTGGCCAACATGGTGAAACGCCATCTCTAAAAATATAAAAATTAGCTGGGTGTGGTGGCACACACCTGCAATCCCAGCTACTTGGGAGGCTAAGGCAGGAGAATCGCTTGAACTTGGGAGGCAGACGTTGCAATGAGTCGAGATTGCACCACTGCACTCCAACCTGGGCAACAGAGTGAGACTCTGTCAAAAAAATAAATAAATAAATAAAATTGGGACATACCCAAGTATTTTGAAAATTAAAAACAATTTTTAATCCACGAGTAGAAGAGCAAACTAACCCAAAGCAAGAAGAAGAATATATTAAGGATTCAAATGAAAATCAGTGCAGTAGAAAATAGAAAAACAGGAGAGAAAAATCAGTGAAACAAAAAGTTGCTTCTTTGAAAAGACCAGCAAGATTGAAAAACCTTTAGCTAACGTAAGAAAAAAGGTAAAGGCCGGGCGCGGTGGCTCACGCCTGTAATCCCAGCACTTTGGGAGGCCGAGGCGGGTGGATCACGAGGTCAGGAGATCGAGACCATCCTGGCTAACAAGGTGAAACCCCGTCTCTACTAAAAATACAAAAAATTAGCCGGGCGCGGTGGCAGGCGCCTGTAGTCCCAGCTACTCGGGAGGCTGAGGCAGGAGAATGGCGTGAACCCGGGAAGCAGAGCTTGCAGTGAGCCGAGATTGCGCCACTGCAGTCCGCAGTCCGGCCTGGGCGACAGAGCGAGACTCCATCTCAAAAAAAAAAAAAAAAGAAAAAAGGTAAAAAAACACAAATGCATAAATAACGAGTGAATATGGGGATGTCATTACTGACCCTACAACAGTTGAAAGGATTATAAGGGAATACCAGGAATAATTGTATGGCAACAAATCAGATAACTCAAATGAAACAGAAATTTCTAGAAAGACACAAACTACCAAAAGTGATTCAAGAAGAAGAAATATAAAATCTTAATAGACTTATAATAAGCAAAAAAAAACCCACAAAAAACTGAATTCATAATATAAAATCTGGCCACAAAGAAAAGCCTGGGCCAGAGGTGTTCACTGGTGGTCTATCAAACATTTAAGACAGAGGTAATATCAATTCTTCACAAACTCTTCCAGTAGAAGGAATAGGAAGAACCACTTCCCAATTTATTCTATGAGGCCAGTATTACCCTGAAACCAAAGCCAAAGACATCATGAGAAAACTACAGAATAGAGGTACAAATGCCCTTAACAAAAGATTAGCGAAACAACTTCAGGAACAGAGAAAAAGAATTATATACCATGACCAAGTGGGATGTATCTGTGGAATGCAAGGTTGATTTAACATTTGAAAATCAATTAATATAATAGACAATATTAATAGGAGAAAGGACAAAATTTATGTGATTATCTCATTAGATACAAAAAAGATATTCAATAAAATCCAATACCCATTCATGATAAAAAAAAAACTCTCAATAAATTAGGAATAGAAGGCACCTTCCTCAGTCTAATAAAGTGCATCTCTAAGAAGCTTACAGCTAACATCATACTTAATGGTGAAATACTGCATGCTTTTCCTATACGATGAGGAATAAGGCAAGCATGTTTGCTCTTGCCATTTCTAGTCAGCATTGTAGGGAAGTTCTAGCCAGTCCAATAATAAAAAAGAAGGCAGTCCAGACTGAAAAAAGATAAATAAAACTGTATTTATTCACAAATATGAAGAAAATACCAGGACGGGCACAGTGGTTCACGCCAGTGGAACCAGCACTTTGGGAGGACCAGGTAGAAGGATCGCTTGAGTCCAGGAGTTTGAGACCAACCTGGGCAACATAGCAAAACCCTGTGTCTACAAAAACAAAACAAAACCAAAATAGCCAGGCATGGTGGCATGCACCTGTAGTCCCAGCTACTTTGGAGGCTGGGGAGGGAGGATTGCTTGTGTCCAGGAGGTCGAGGCTGCAGTGAGCTGTGATTATGCCACTGCATTTCAGCCTAGGCAACAGAGTGAGACCCTGTCTCAAAAAGAAAAGAAAAGAAAATACTGAGGAATCCATAGAAAAAAAAAACCCAGCTACTAGAACTAATAAACATGTTGAGAACATTTGAGGACCCAGGATTAAGACACAAAAAGCAACTGTACTTCACTATACTAGCAATGAACAACATGAAAATGAAATTAATAAAACTAGTCCATCAAAGAGAATAAAATGCTTAGGAATAAACTTAACAAAAATGTGTAAGACATGTACGTTGAAAACTACAAAACACTGCCTGAGAGATATTAAAGAAAATCTAAATAAATCGAAAGACATTTCATGTTCATAGACTGAAAGACACAATATTGTTAGGTATCAGTTGTTCCCTGACTGATCTAATAAATTCAATGTGACTTTTTCACATGCCAGTAGGCCTTCTTGCAGAATTGACAAGATGACTTAAATACTTACATGGAAGTGCAAAAGACTCCGAAGAGGCAAAACAATTTTGAAAAATAACGAAGTTAAAGGACTTCATACTCCCTGATTTCAAAGCTTACTAAAAGTTATAGTAATCAAGACAGTTGTGACACTAATGCAAGGAAAGATGTAGGTCAATGGAGCAGAATTGATAAAAAAAATTCTTCATTTGTGATCACTTGATTTTTATCAACATACCAAGGAAATTTTGTAGGGAAAAGACAGCCTTTTCAACAAATGATGTTTGTTTTCAAGAAATTATGCGGAGGAGCCAAGATGGCCGAATAGGAACAGCTCCGGTCTACAGCTCCCAGCGTGGGTGACGCAGAAGAAGGGTGATTTCTGCATTTCCATCTGAGGTACGGGTTCATCTCACTAGGGAGTGCCAGACAGTGGGCGCAGGTCAGTGGGTGCGCGCACCGTGCGCCAGTCAAAGCAGGGCGAGGCATTGCCTGACTCGGGAAGCGCAAGGGGTCAGGGAGTTCCCTTTCCTAGTCAAAGAAAGGGGTGACAGACGGCACCTGGAAAATCGGGTCACTCCCACCCGAATACTGCGCTTTTCCGACGGGCTGAAAAAATGGCGCACCAGAAGATTATATCCCGCACCTGGCTCGGAGGGTCCTACGCCCACGGAGTCTCACTGATTGCTAGCACAGCAGTCTGAGATCAAACTGCAAGCGGCAGCGAGGCTGGGGGAGGGGCGCCCGCCATTGCCCAGGCTTGCTTAAGTAAACAAAGCAGCCCGGAAGCTCGAACTGGGTGGAGCCCACCACAGCTCAAGGAGGCCTGCCTGCCTCTGTAGGCTCCACCTCTGGGGGCAGGGCACAGACAAACAAAAAGACAGCAGTAACCTCTGCAGACTTAAATGTCCCTGTCTGACAGCTTTGAAGAGAGCAGTGGTTCTCCCAGCACACAGCTGGAGATCTGAGAATGGGCAGACTGCCTCCTCCAGTGGGTCCCTGACCCCTGACCCCCGAGCAGCCTAACTGGGAGGCACCCCCCAGCAGGGGCAGACTAACACCTCACACGGCCGGGTACTCCAACAGACCTGCAGCTGAGGGTCCTGTCTGTTAGAAGGAAAACTAACAAACAGAAAGGACATCCACACCAAAAACCCATCTGTACAACACCATCATCAAAGACCAAAAGTAAATAAAACCACAAAGATGGGGAAAAAACAGAACAGAAAAACTGGAAACTCTAAAAAGCAGAGCGCCTCTCCTCCTCCAAAGGAATGCAGTTCCTCACCAGCAACGGAACAAAGCTGGACGGAGAATGACTTTGACGAGCTGAGAGAAGAAGGCTTCAGACGATCAAATTACTCCGAGCTATAGGAGGACATTCAAACCAAAGGCAAAGAAGTTGAAAACTTTGAAAAAAATTTAGAAGAATGTATAACTAGAATAACCAATACAGAGAAGTGCTTAAAGGAGCTGATGGAGCTGAAAACCAAGGCTCGAGAACTATGTGAAGAATGCAGAAGCCTCAGGAGCCGATGCGATCAACTGGAAGAAAGGGTATCAGCGATGGAAGATGAAATGAATGAAATGAAGCGAGAAGGGAAGTTTAGAGAAAAAAGAATAAAAAGAAACGAGCAAAGCCTCCAAGAAATATGGGACTATGTGAAAAGACCAAATCTACGTCTGATTGGTGTACCTGAAAGTGAAGGGGAGAATGGAACCAAGTTGGAAAACACTCTGCAGGATATTATCCAGGACAACTTCCCCAATCTAGTAAGGCAGGCCAACATTCAGATTCAGGAAATACAGAGAACGCCACAAAGATACTCCTCGAGAAGAGCAACTCCAAGACACATAATTGTCAGATTCACCAAAGTTGAAATGAAGGAAAAAATGTTCAGGGCAGCCAGAGAGAAAGGTCGGGTTACCCTCAAAGGGAAGCCCATCAGACTAACAGCGGATCTCTCAGCAGAAACTCTACAAGCCAGAAGAGAGTGGGGGGTCAATATTCAACATTCTTAAAGAAAAGAATTTTCAACCCAGAATTTCATATCCAGCCAAACTGAGCTTCATAAGTGAAGGAGAAATAAAATACTTTACAGACAAGCAAATGCTGAGAGATTTTGTCACCACCAGACCTGCCCTAAAAGAGCTCCTGAAGGAAGCGCTAAACATGGAAAGGAACAACCGGTACCAGCCGCTGAAAAATCATGCCAAAATGTAAAGACCATCGAGACTAAGGAGAAACTGCATCAACTAACGAGCAAAATAACCAGCTAACATCATAATGACAGGATCAAATTCACACATAACAATATTAACTTTAAATGTAAATGGACTAAATGCTCCAATTAAAAGACACAGACTGGCAAATTGGATAAAGAGTCAAGACCCATCAGTGTGCTGTATTCAGGAAACCCATCTCACGTGCAGAGACACACATAGGCTTAAAATAAAAGGATGGAGGAAGATCTACCAAGCAAATGGAAAACAAAAAAAGGCAGGGATTGCAATCCTAGTCTCTGATAAAACAGACTTTAAACCAACAAAGATCAAAAGAGACAAAGAAGGCCATTACATAATGGTAAAGGGATCAATTCAACAAGAAGAGCTAACTCTCCTAAATATATATGCACCTAATACAGGAGCACCCAGATTCATAAAACAAGTCCTGAGTGACCTACAAAGAGACTTAGACTCCCACACATTAATAATGGGAGACTTTAACACCCCACTGTCAACATTAGACAGATCAACGAGACAGAAAGTCAACAAGGATACCCAGGAATTGAATTCAGCTCTGCACCAAGACCTAATAGACATCTACAGAACTCTCCACCCCAAATCAACAGAATATACATTTTTTTCAGCACCACACCACACCTATTCCAAAATTGACCACATACTTGGAAGTAAAGCTCTCCTCAGCAAATGTAAAAGAACAGAAATTATGACAAACTATCTCTCAGACCACAGTGCCATCAAACTAGAACTCAGGATTAAGAATCTCACTCAAAACCGCTCAACTACATGGAAACTGAACAACCTGCTCCTGAATGACTACTGGGTACATAAAGAAATGAAGGCAGAAATAAAGATGTTCTTTGAAACCAACAAGAACAAAGACACAACATACCAGAATCTCTGGGACGCATTCAAAGCAGTGTGTAGAGGGAAATTTATAGCACTAAATGCCCACAAGAGAAAGCAGGAAAGATCCAAAATTGACACCCTAACATCACAATTAAAAGAACTAGAAAAGCAAGAGCAAACACATTCAAAAGCTAGCAGAAGGCAAGAAATAACTAAAATCAGAGCAGAACTGAAGGAAATAGAGACACAAAAAACCCTTCAAAAAATTAATAAATCCAGGAGCTGGTTTTTTGAAAGGATCAACAAAATTGATAGACCGCTAGCAAGACTAATAAAGAAAAAAAGAGAGAAGAATCAAATAGACGCAATAAAAAATGATAAAGGGGATATCACCACCGATCCCACAGAAATACAAACTACCATCAGAGAATACTACAAACACTTCTATGCAAATAAACTAGAAAATCTAGAAGAAATGGATAAATTCCTTGACACATACACCCTCCCAAGACTAAACCAGGAAGAAGTTGAATCTCTGAATAGACCAATAACAGGCTCTGAAATTGTGGCAATAATCAATAGCTTACCAACCAAAAAGAGTCCAGGACCAGATGGATTCACAGCCAAATTCTACCAGAGGTACAAGGAGGAACTGGTACCATTCCTTCTTAAACTATTCCAATCAATAGAAAAAGAGGGAATCCTCCCTAACTCATTTTATGAGGCCAGCATCATCCTGATACCAAAGCCGGGCAGAGACATAACCAAAAAAGAGAATTTTAGACCAATATCCTTGATGAACATTGATGCAAAAATCCTCAATAAAATACTGGCAAACCGAATCCAGCAGCACATCAAAAAGCTTATCCACCATGATCAAGTGGGCTTCATCCCTGGGATGCAAGGCTGGTTCAATATACACAAATCAATAAATGTAATCCAGCATATAAACAGAACCAAAGACAAAAACCACATGATTATCTCAATAGATGCAGAAAAGGCCTTTGACAAAATTCAGCAACCCTTCATGCTAAAAACTCTCAATAAATTAGGTATTGATGGGACGTATTTCAAAATAATAAGAGCTATCTATGACAAACCCACAGCCAATATCATACTGAATGGGCAAAAACTGGAAGCATTCCCTTTGAAAACTGGCACAAGACAGGGATGTCCTCTCTCACCACTCCTCTTCAACATAGTGTTGGAAGTTCTGGCCAGGGCAATTAGGCAGGAGAAGGAAATAAAGGGTATTCAATTAGGAAAAGAGGAAGTCAAATTGTCCCTGTTTGCAGACGACATGATTGTATATCTAGAAAACCCCACTGTTTCAGCCCAAAATCTCCTTAAGCTGATAAGCAACTTCAGCAAAGTCTCAGGATACAAAATCAGTGTACAAAAATCACAACCATTCTTATACACCAATAACAGACAAACAGAGAGCCAAATCATGAGTGAACTCCCATTCACAATTGCTTCAAAGAGAATAAAATACCTAGGAATCCAACTTACAAGGGATGTGAAGGACCTCTTCAAGGAGAACTACAAACCACTGCTCAAGGAAATAAAAGAGGATACAAACAAATGGAAGAACATTCCATGCTCATGGGTAGGAAAAATCAATATCGTGAAAATGGCCATACTGCCCAAGCTAATTTACAGATTCAGTGCCATCCGCATCAAGCTACCAATGACTTTCTTCACAGAATTGAAAAAAACTACTTTAAAGTTCATATGGAACCAAAAAAGAGCCCGCATCGCCAAGTCAATCCTAAGCCAAAAGAACAAAGCTGGAGGCATCACACTACCTGACTTCAAACTATACTACAAGGCTACAGTAACCAAAACAGCATGGTACTGGTACCAAAACAGAGATATAGATCAATGGAACAGAACAGAGCCCTCAGAATTAACGCCGCATATCTACAACTATTTGATCTTTGACAAACTTGAGGAAAGCAATGGGGAAAGGATTCCCTATTTAATAAATGGTGCTGGGAAAACTGGCTAGCCATATGTAGAAAGCTGAAACTGGATCCCTTCCTTACACCTTATATAAAAATCAATTCAAGATGGATTAAAGACTTAAACATTAGACCTAAAACCATAAAAACCCTAGAAGAAAACCTAGGCATTACCATTCAGGACATAGGCATGGGCAAGGACTTCATGTCTAAAACACCAAAAGCAATGGCAACAAAAGCCAAAATTGACAAGTGGGATCTAATTAAACTAAAGAGCTTCTGCACAGCAAAACAAACTACCATCAGAGTGAACAGGCAACCTACAAAATGGGAGAAAATTTTCGCAACCTACTCATCTGACAAAGGGCTAATATCCAGAATCTACAATGAACTCAAACAAATTTACAAGAAAAAAACAACCCCATCAAAAAGTGGGCGAAGGACATGAACAGACACTTCTCAAAAGAAGACATTTATGCAGCCAAAAAACACATGAAAAAATGCTCACCATCACTGGCCATCAGAGAAATGCAAATCAAAACCACAATGAGATACCATCTCACACCAGTTAGAATGGCAATCATTAAAAAGTCAGGAAACGACAGGTGCTGGAGAGGATGTGGAGAAACAGGAACACTTTTACACTGTTGGTGGGACTGTAAACTAGTTCAACCATTGTGGAAGTCAGTGTGGCGATTCCTCAGGGATCTAGAACTAGAAATACCATTTGACCCAGCCATCCCATTACTGGGTATATACCCAAAGGACTATAAATCATGCTGCTATAAAGACACATGCACACGTATGTTTATTGCAGCATTATTCACAATAGCAAAAACTTGGAACCAACCCAAATGTCCAACAATAGACTGGATTAAGAAAATGTGGCACATATACACCATGGAATACTATGCAGCCATAAAAAATGATGAGTTCATGTCCTTTGTAGGGACATGGATGAAATTGGAAATCATCATTCTCAGTAAACTATCGCAAGAACAAAAAACCAAACACCGCATATTCTCACTCATAGGTGGGAATTGAACAATGAGAACACATGGGCACAGGAAGGGGAACATCACACTCTGGGGACTGTTGTGGGGTGGGGGGAGGGGGGAGGGATGGCATTGGGAGATATACCTAATGTGAGATGACGAGTAAGTGGGTGCAGCGCACCAGCATGGCACGTGTATACATATGTAACTAACCTGCACATTGTGCACATGTACCCTAAAACTTAAAGTATAATAAAAAAAATGCCTTAAAAAATTATGCAACAAAATGACAACAGGATATCTACATGCAAAAAGATGAATTTAGACCTTCATGTCACACCATACATAAAAATTAAATCAAGATGGACCATTGGCCTAAACATAAGAGCTAATACTGTTATACTTTTAGAAAAAAAAAAAGGAAATCTTCACGGCCTTCAGCAATTTCGTGGGGAAATTTCAACACACGGCGCTGCCATGTTTGGATATCAAGATGCAAAAAGATCAACGTGTATCCAAACTTCACTTTTTATACAAAAATTAACTCAAAATATAGACAGAAATGTAAAACCTAGGAATATAAAACTTCGAGAACAAAACATAGAAGAAAATCTTTGTGACCTTAGGTTGAGTGAAGATTTCTTAGATACAATAGGAAACACACAGTCCATAATAGAACAAATTGATAAACTGAACTCTAGTAAAATTAAAAACTTCTGCTCTTCAGAAGACACTGTTAAGAGAATAAAAAGAGAATAAGAATACAAGCCACGAACTGGGAGAAAATATTTGCAAAGCATATTTTTGGTAAATTACTCATAATATACTCTCCAAACTACATAAGAAAATAAAAAACCTAATACAAATTCGGCAAGGTTTCACAGATGCCTCACCATATATACACATATACATGACAAATAAGGGCATGAAAAGACATGTCCATCAACTGGTAAATAAACAAAGTAAATATATCTGTACAATGGACTACTACTCAGTCATAAAAGGGGATGAACTATTGATGTACTCAATAACACATATGAATCTAAAAAATTATGCTGACTGAAAGCAGAGAGTAGATAGTGTTTAATTTCATTTTATGAAACTCAAATGAGACACCGGTAGCTGCCTGGGGACAGGAGTGAAGGCAAGATTACAAAGGAGCAGAAGGCAATTTTGGGGGCGATGGATAGGTTCTCTTTCTTTTTTTTGAGACAGAGTCTTGCTCTGTCGTCCAGGCTGGAGTGCAGTGGTGCGATCTCAGCTCACTGCAAGTTCCATCTCCCGGGTTCAAGCAGTTCTCCCTGCCTCAGCCTCCTGAGTAGCTGGGATTACAGGCACGTGCCACCACACCCGGCTAATTTTTGTATTTTTAGTAGACATGAGGTTTCACCATGTTGGCCAAGCTGGTCTCGAACTCCTGGCCTCAAGTGATCCACCTGCCTCGGCCTCCCAAAGTGGTGGGATTACAGGCGTTGAGTCACCATGCCTGGCCGGTTCCCTGTCTTGATTGTGATGATGGTTTCCCACTTGTATACATGTTTCAAAATTTGTCAATGTATACACCCAAATATGTGCAGTTTATTAGATGTCAATTATACCTCAAAACTATTTTTAAAAATTGGGTATGCATTTTATATATGTTTACTTCTTTATTTCATTTTTCTATAAATTATTCTTTATTCATCCACAATGAAATAAAAACAGTACGTGGCTTCAAAACTAACAGAAGGTTAAAATGGAATGGGGAAAAAAGCAGCCAATCCAAAGGAAGGGGAGAAAGAAGCGGAGAAAGAACACAGAACAGTCAGGAGGAACGGAGAGCACAGAAGGCAGCCAGAGGGTGCTGGCCGCAGGGATGGCATTAGATATAATGAACTAAATAGTCCAATTAAAGAATTAAAATGTTAAGCTATATTAAAACTGATAGTCTACAAAGCTCAAATACAGCACATACGATACAGAAAATTTGAAAGTAAAGGAGAAGTTATATCATGCAACCTTTAACTGAAAGCAAGCTGATGTAGCTATACTGGACTAACATTGGGGGAAATTTGCAAGACAAGTTATTTCTGGGAATAAAATCAGTCAATTCATTAAGATAAAAGGATGATGTCACCAAGAAGATAACAATTAGAAATGTGTGTGTTCTCAATGTGGTTTCAAAATAGTGAAAAGCTCCTTCTTTAAAAGAAGGGTAAAAAGGGGCCAGATGCAGTGGCTCACGCCTGTAATGTCAGCACTTTGGGAGGCCAAGGCAGGTGGATCACCTGAGGTCAGGAGTTCAAGACCTGCCTGGCCAACATGGCGAAACCCTGTCTCTACTAAAAATACAAAAATTAGCTGGGCATGATGGCGGGTGCCTGTAATCCCAGCTACTCGGGAGGCTGAGGCAGGAGAATCCCTTGACCCAGGAGGCAGAGGGTGCAGTGAGCTGAGAATGTGCCAGGCACTCTAGCCTGGGCAACAGAGCAAGACTCGGTCTCAAAAATAAATAAATAAATAAACAAACAAATAAATAAATAAATAAAAATTAACGACGGGTAAAATGGACAAAACTGCAATTGAAATGGGAGAAATAGTAAAATCCATGATCAGTGGGAGCTACTGAAACAACTTTCTGGCTGGGCGCAGTGGCTCATGCCTGTAATCCCAGTCCTTTGGGAGGCCAAGGCGGTCGCATCACCTGAGGTCGGGAGTTCAAGACCAGCCTGGCCAACATGGCAAAAACCTGTCTCTACTGAAAATACAAAAATTAGCTGAGCGTGATGATGGGTGCCTATAATCCAAGCTACTCATGAGGCTGAGGCAGGAGAATTGCTTGAACCTGGGAGGTGGAGGGTTGCAGTGAGCCAAGATTGTGCCATTGTACTCCAGCCTGGGCAACAAGAGCGAAACTCCCTCCAGAAAAACAAACAACAACAATAACAAAAAAAAAAAACCCAAAAACCCCCTAACTTTCTATCAAACTGATAGAACAAGGAGACAACAAAATCAAGATACAAAATATTTCAATAACAAATTAACAAATTTGACATCATGGGCATGTATAGATACTATCCCCAACAACCACCAATTCCATGTTCTTTTAGAAGGCATGGGAATACTTACAAAAATTGGGACAGAAGAAATCTCCTCTGCCTTCCTACCCCTGCTTCTCCCTATACCTGCTGATAGCAACAAGGGCCAGAGATAAGGGTTTTCTTTAGAAGTGGAACACGAAGGCCAGGCGCGGTGGCTCATGCCTGTAATCCCAGCACTTTGGGAGGCCGAGGCGGGCGGATCACGAGGTCAGGAGATTGAGACCATCCTGGCTAACACGATGAAACCCTATCTCTACCAAAAATACAAAAATTAGCTGGACATGGTGGTGGGCGCCTGTAGTCCCAGCTACTCGGGAGGCTGAGGCAGGAGAATGGTGTGAACCCAGGAGGTGGAGCTTGCAGTGAGCAGAGATCGCGCCGCTGCTCTCCAGCCTGGGTGACAGAGCGAGACTCCGTCTCAAAAGAAAAAAAAAAAAAAGAAGTGGAACACGAAGTACAAGTTGGGTGACCAAATTTAACAAATAACACAGGATTCTCAGTTAAATTTGCATTTCAGAGAAACAAAAAATAATTTCTTAGTATAAATATGTCTCATTTTCATGCTAAAAAAAAGCATGTGTGTTGTTTCTCTGAAATTCAAATTTCACTGTGCATCTAGTATTTTTTCTGGAAGCCCTAATCATAGGAGAGAAGGGATTGTCATCAGGGAGGAGATGTCTGGAGACTCTTCATCTCTTCCCTGAACTAAAGGTTTGGTTGGGGCCCTTGGCTCAGTCATGTGACTTGGAGAGCCGACCCGTGGGGAGCTAGGAGAGGGAGCCTTTCTTCGGGGTGCCTTCTGCCCTTTGCATGGTTCTCCCTTGAGCAGCCCTGGCTCAATGCTCCCCGGCGCCCTGACCTCTCGGCCTTGTGAAGGCAGCACCTCCTTCCATTCTGCCCACGTTCCAGCCAGGCACGGGCACAAGTGTAATGAAGACAACAACAAACGCAGGCATGATTTGCAAAAACACAGACATTTTAACTTTAATAAGTTATAAAAGTAAGGAGTCAAATTTTACATTACAGAACAAAGATGTATTGGTTGTTGTATCGGTAAGCCAGAATTTTGTGATTTGAGTTCAGCACCTTGATTCAGTATAGTGGCTACCTGTCATACAGGAGGGAGTGGAATCATAAACTGCTTCATCTGCTAAGATGTTGCTATTGAGCACCATGTATATACTCAAAACAAACAGAAAAACCTTAAAATACAAATGAAAGCCTTATACATGAAATTCCATGGGTTTTCCAAAAGGAGTAAATCAGAGAGCTGGGTTCCACAAATCTAACACGAGTCTGCCCACTAAGGAGAAGTGACTCAGGGACACTGTTGCAGATTTTCTAGTGCAGCGGAAGGTCTGAGTCTCATCATGCGGTTAGAAACTCAGCTAGAAGACATCTGTCTGCCTCCTCTGGGCGCCAGGAGCCCCTCAGATGCAGAAGAAGCTGGCTTGCGAAGATCAGGACTGTTACTAAGCCGGTTCTCCAAGTGGTCCCCAGCTCAGAGATTTGCGTCGTTTCTCAGAGCCCGGTGAACGTTGGCATTCCTTGGACAGACTTTTGAGGACCATCCGGCTCTAGAGGACTCTTGATATATGGCTCAAGGATTGAGGATGGCACAGAGGGTCATGGCTGTCAGTCCCAGAGGGCACCTTGCTCCCTTCAGCGGAAGACAGGTGCCCAGGGAATGTCCCAGCTGGGCCTCTTCCCAAAGGCTTCCAGCCTCAAGCCAGGAAGCCCTGCTCTGCTGAGATCTTGGAATGGAGTGTTCCCATCCAGAGGCCCCTAGGCTGGGTAAACCGAGTCATACTCTCTGCCTAGCGTTAGTCCTGAACTTCCTCCACATCCTAGGACAGACCCAAGTAAGAACTGCCCAGTTCTTCAGCCTGTGAATAGCACCAGCTGTCCTGGGTTCAACCAACAATGGAAAGCCTCGGGCTCCGTTTCCTAATTACAGAGGCAGGATTGCACACATGCTCTAAACCACATCTTCTTAAGGAAGGGGTACTATGAGAGATACTCAGAAAGGTTTTCTCCAGTTTGGTTCTCCAGGAGACACGGGGACAGTGCGCAGCACGTGTGGGATGCGGTGGTGGAGGGCGGGAGGCTAGCCATCACCCAGGTGGAGACTGAAGCATCAGCCCAGATTCCGTTCTTGCTGGTTCCTACATCGTCATTTTGTCCCTTGGATCATACACACAGAGCCACCCACATGTGCAGCCTCAGACAAACATACTTATTAGCACCTCAAAACTCAGTAGAAGGTAGCCACTATGCTGTTATCCTGAGCCTCATCCATATAATGGGGAAATACACATGAACAAATTCTCGAAGAGGATTGGTGAGAGTACACAGCCTCTAGAAGTTTCTTAAACAGGAAAGGTTTAAGAATTATGTGTCAGGCTGAGCCCATCTAAGGAGCTGACGTGCCCCTGGGTCTTGTAAGCCCAGAAAGTTTAAGCTTCACGTTCACAAAATGTCAAGGCAGTGAGAGGTAAAAATGAGCCACTCTTCTCCCATCCGCCCCTACTCCCCCTTCCTCCTATTTCTCTCTTACTCGCATGTTGCTCACAAAGCACCATTCTCTGGAAAATAGGAGCTATTAAAGTTTTCAAGGAGCAAAAGACAATGTAGGCTCTCCCCATCTCCCACCCTAAGCCCCCATCAGAGGCCACATTTTGCAGGTCACTGCTGGGTTCTGGAGCTTCTGAGAGACAGAGGCGAGGTGGGGCAGGGCGGGACAGGGAAAGCCCATTCCCAGCAAGCAAGCAAAGCCCACAAAGCCCAGAATCCCAGAACCCTTAGACTTGGCCGTAGGGAGATTCCAGGCCCTTGAACCGCTCACTGGACCTTCCCAGCAGAGCACGTGCCTCTCTCATCTTTCTCAGGTACTTGGGGAGGGAAGAGGCTCTCTGGGGAGCCCTGGAGCCAAGGTGGCCAGGGAAGAATGCAGGAGCTCTTCCCCCAGAGCCTGGAAGGCAGCCGGCAAGGCCAGGGTTAGTGGACAGGGGAGAGGCCTGGGAGAGCACCCCACTGTTTTCTTGGCATGGACCCTGTTTAGACCTATCCTTATGTCCCGTGATAGGATTCTCATTACTTTCGCAGGTGGAGGACAGCTGCACGGCTCAGACTCGGTCGAGACATTCAGATGCCGTACAGCATGAGCACCAAGAAGGTCAGAAGGCCTTTAGTTCTTAATTAGCAAGACTGCATCAGACCAAGTGGAGGCCTCCTTAAAATGTTCTGAGTCGACCTTTAAAGATTGAGTTTTTTTCATGCAAAAATCTAGACTTCTTCCGAAAAAGAACACTGTCTGGCAAGGCCGGGGATAGTAGAGCAGAGATGGAGAGAGATACAGATTTCACAGTGGCAGCAACAGCCAGAACCAAGTCAGCTCCAGGTGGGTGTGGCTGTCAGGGCGGCCATGGTCCCCAGCGGGCCACTACGCTCACCCCGGTCAGCCGCCTGGCCCTGGAAGACGATTTGAGTTCATCACCTCCACTTCATTGTACTCATCTCGGCAACGGGTCAGTTATTCAGTAAATCACCATTTCTCCTAAGAGTCCCACAGGCTGTGTCTGGGGATCGGTAGGGAATGTCATGCATCTCCGCCAAGGAAAGGAAGGTTCCCAATCACTGCTTAGCAACTTGGGGCCTATTTTTGTTCTCTCAGAGTGATCCCTCTTGCCCTGCCCTCACTGAGGGAGGCCATACAGCCTCTATATTCCTCTCCACTGCACACCTGACGCCACCACAGTATTTGGTCGCTCCTGGGCTGGGAAGCACACGTGCTAACCTAGTTACCACATGCTCATGCCTATCTTTCTTACGTCATTCCCCCTCTTTGTTTTCTCAAAACCTTTTGGAATCAGGAATTTTGACTTCATCTCCATGACACAGGATTTGCTATCCCATGGAATATCTCTATAAGCAAGAAAAAAATGCTAGGGATGCTATCTTTCCATTTTATTAGAACTTTCCGAGCATCTCTTTCTTCCGCATCTCATCAATGAGCTCTTGGATTCTTTGGTTTCTGGTCTTTTCATAGGGGCTCGGTCGTCGAGGGATTAGGTTGGGTGGCTGGACTTCATCTTCCAGGCCATGGATTTTGTAGGGTTCATCTACGGCATTGGTTTCTGGGTGATCCTCTGTGGCATTGGTGCTGGAGGCATTGAGAGGGACCTCCAGGGGGGTGCTTGGTGATGGCCGCACCTCCATGGCTACAGTGGGCACTGGGAGGGTAGGCATGAACACGTCAATGTCGTTGTGCTTCCCAGGCGGTGGCTCTATCCTGCCCTCCACGTTGGTGAGGTTGTTGTACAGGTTACAGGACTTGCAGCACAGCTTGTTGTAGCCTGGGATGGAGCAATAGCGGGACAAGACTTCCATCCTACAGAATATTGACTTGTCGCCTTGGCAGTGGCCCTCTGAAAAAGAAAAGTGGGACAAATAACCAAAGGACAAGATAAGGGGGACTTTGTTCCCCCACAGGGTGCAGCTTGCTGGAGGAGGCATATGGAAGAGCCCAGAGACAGCACAGAGGCAAGTGAGCCCAGGCAGAAAGTCTGTGTGGGTTCAGTGTCAAAGCATCCCCAGTGCAGGCAGTGTCCAGGGACCCCTGCCTGGAAGTGCTGACACACAAGCTGTGAGCAAGGCTTCCCTCTTCCAAGCAGGCCCCAGTTGAACCTGGATGTTTCAGTATCTCTTAAAGTTTGAGAAAGAAATGAGGCCCGTTTGTTCTTACAGAGTGATTCCAAACTCATCTTAAAGAATAGGACTTTATCACATCTTCACATTTGACATCCCAGTGGTAACCCCAGTGAAATTCTGTGGCAAGGCTTGACTCTACAATAATCTCTAAGTAGTAACTATAACAAAATTAAACCTAAAAGAGCCAATTCCTAAGACCCAATATAGCAAATCCCAGGGCCGCTGTGGCCCCACCATGCTCCACAACTCCCTGATGTTGCTCCCATTCTGACCCAGATGCCCCGGACGATCTTTTAACTGAACAGCACCTAAAGGAAAGTTAAACATCACCCAAACCTGCATGGGCTTTCTTATACTTGCCTCAACTTACCCAACAACCTCATTTCCAGCCTCTGCTCCATCCCCCTATAGCACCGCCACCTTGCGCATCCAGCCATTTCCCAAAGAAACGTGCTGCCCTCACATAGATTAATCGTTCCACCCTGCACATCTTTCTCTTTCCTTTCCACCCAAGAAACTGGTCATCTGTGGTCCAGCTTACATGGAGAGCCCCGACTCTCCACAGAAGCCACCATTATCTCTCACTTTCCACCCAGCCATCTTCTCCCTGGCCCATCTCGACCTCTGTCTGCGGCTATGTTCATTCAACCCATCAACTCTTCTTGCGCTCACACTCTCTTTACTCTCTGTCTCCTTCCCAAGTTTTCACCCCTTCCCTCTCCCCATCCCCTCATTCCACAACACAAAAATTAAGATGATTTTAAAAAATTCACTCAAGAAGAAAGAATAAGTCATGTTACAGGAGATACTTGATCCAGTATAAATTCCGAATCACTGACCTCCGTGAGCCCAACACCGCCTGTTGTGGTCTCTGCTCAGCTGCTCTCTACTCTCCACAGTGATGACTTCAGACCTTTCCCACACAAACCCCCGACGTGCCCTCCTTTTCCCTCACTCTCCTTAGTTGAACTCATCTACTATTGAAAGGAAGGAAGGAGGGAGAGGGTGAAAGGAAGGAGGAACTGAAGGAAGGAAAGAAAGGAAAAAAGGAAAGGGAGGGAGGGACAAAAGGAAGAAAGGGAGGAGGAAAGGGAGGGAGAAAGGGAGGGAGAAAGGCTCAGGCATTGGATGGGAGCCACATCTGACAGTTATCCCATACACCAACATATGACACAATCTACACCTGAAGCTGTCCAAAACAGACAAGACCCCCTTCCTTCCATCGAGGGCCAGTGGTTCTGATGTCCTGCTTCTTAATGGCCACTGCTCCAGCCTGTAATTTTCCCTTAGAAGCTGGTGACAGACCACCAGCTCCAAACCCCTGAAGCTTCAGACTTGCTACAAGCCAAATCCACCAAGGGCCTGTGGGTCCCAAAAGCCCGAGACCCAACCCCTGCAGCGTGAGCTTAGGGCCTCTGCTGCCCACCCTGTCTCGGTGCATGGTGTTTCAGGCACACAAGCCAAACACCTGGGTGCCCCGTCCTAGACACTCTCAGATATGCCCTTGTTCCTCCCCGTCTCCCACCTCCACCCTGGCTGAGCTGCCTCTTGGCTGCACTATGGGAGGGGTCTGTGTCCATTCTTCACCCATGTCATCCAGCTATCCTGCTTCAGTCAGAATGCTGTTTTCTCACTGAAGATGTGACCACGGCACCCCCCCCCCACCCCCCGCCACTTGAAGTCCCTGACCTGTCCCTTTCCCCTTTCCAACCTCCCTCTGGCCTTAGACTCCTTGCTCTGCATGGAACTCCTTTTGGCCACAGGGCCTTTGCACATGCAATGCCTCTCTCCTGCCTCCAGCTACCACCCTTCCTCCTTCAGGGGCAGTTGGAGCACATCTTCCTCAGGCAGGCATCGCCTGACCTCCTTGAGCAGGTAAGGTCTCTGCAGCACACGGTCTCAGCAGCTGTGCCTTCCCAGCCAAGCTCGCATCTAATTGTCAGATGAATGACTAGTGCCAGACTTTTTCATTATCCTGAAAGCTCCACAGGGCAGAGCCCCAGAGCCTAGAACAGTGAACCAAATAATGCATAAAGGCATAAAAAAGATAAGGTATGAAAAAGATCAATGTGAATAACTGAGGAAGTTCAAAACAGGGAAATTTTGAATCTGAAAATGGCAATTTCCAGGCAAGAAGAATGCAGGGAGGCCCATGCATCAGAGGGTGCCCGACTTCGGCCCTGAGCTTCTACGTGGCCAAAATAAGGAGAACACATGACTGGCTGCAGGGTCCACCATGAAAAGGGAGTTAAAACCCATCGGCCATCAGGAGAAGTGGGGATCTCCCTGACACTGAGCCCAAGAACCATGCTCACAGTGCCAAGGAGGAAGGGGGAGGGCCTGGTACCCAGGGGAGATGCCAGAAATCAAATCGGAAGATCCTGAGATGTGGCTGTCAGGATTTTGAAACTGGCAGAAGGCTTTTCTCAGATAAAAATCTTACACAGGTGCCCAATATATGAAACAGATAGACTCAGACTGCTGATGATAGTACTGTTTGAAGGTGGGTGGAGGAGACACAGAGCTCCCATCCCTGCCCCACCCCATCCTCTCCAGCAGCCTGGTTTGTGAAACCACTGAGCCCTACCCTCAGGGAAACACAGGGGGTTCTGGATAAGAGCTGATGGTGGCCTCCCTTCTCCCTACCCCATAGGCTTTGACAAAGGAGGGAGCCTGGGCCTGATGGTGCTGGGAGGGACACCCTGGCTGCACACTGCCCCCTCTCCTGTTGCCCATAGTTTTTCCTTCACACAGATAAGGCTGGTGTTACACATTTATCCACATCTCCACTCCCTCACTGTCTCCCCCACCAGGCTGGGATCCCTGAAAAGCAGGAATCACATCAGCCTGGTACAGTGGTGGGCCATCTACGGCTAGTGTGCCAAGTCCCTCCCTCCACCTGGTTTTGTAAATAAAGTTTTATTGGATCAGGCCCATGCCCATGCATTTTTTTTTTTTTTTTTGAGATGAAGTCTTGCTCTGTCGCCCAGGCTGGAGTGCAGTGGCGTGATCTTGGCTCACTGCAACCTCCGCCTCCTGGGTTCAAGAGCCTCCCGAGTAGCTGGGACTACAGGTGCGTGCCACCATGCCCGGCTAATTTTTGTATTTTTAGTAGAGACGGGGTTTCGCTATGTTGGTCAGGCTGGTCTTGAACTCCTGACCTTGTGATCCATCCACCTCAGCCTCCCAAAGTGCTGGGATTACAGGTGTAAGCCACTGTGCCCGGCCCATGCATTTCTTATCTGTGGCTGCTTTCCCACTATAAAGGCAGAGCTGAGTCCTGTGACAGAGACCATGTGGGCTCCAATGCCCAAAATATTGACTACCTGGCCCTTTACAGAAAAGGTTGACTGATCGTGGGTCAAGTGCACGCCTAGGTCAGAGCCATGCACGAGAAAGTGCTCCATAAATGCCCATTGAGTGAGGGGTGGCAGCCCCAGGTGGGGTCCCCCTTCCACCTGGTCTACATACTGGACTTCTATGTCTGATTTTCTCCCCACAGTGGGCGGCATTGCTCTTAGTTTAAAAAAATAAAAATACGTCAATGAGTAAATACAAAATTGAAATAAAATCCTGGCCAAGAGATTGACTATGCAAATAGCCTAGGAAAATTTCAAAATAGCCTAGAAAAATTTCAAAGTCATCATGACCAACTGATCTTAAAGATGCCCCAGGTTTGTACATTTTTAAGTATCATCACGGACCACAGAGAAGAGTGATGCACCTGAGGTAATGACTGGCGATGCCTCTCCGCCAAGATGAACACTGTGGTTTTACAATATTTGGTCTTCGGCCATTTCCAGTAGCAATCAAGTAGTGAGACCTATTGTCTTCCAGTGAATGACAATCAACCATTGAGAGTAAACACAGTTTTCATAAACTTAAGTCACTGTAGGCTACTCCCACGATCTTGGCTACACCTGAACAGCACCTGCATTATTATTTGCTTAGTCATATCCTTTAAATTAACTCCTTTTTACACTTAAAATTTGTTTTAGAAGACCTTATACTATTACCACTCATGGAAAGCTACTGCAGTGAACAAAGGTAACCCTAAAATAGGAATACAAAAAAAAAGTTTAAAGTCCTTTTAAAGTCAATTTCAAAGTCACACTTTAACTCATCAAATTCTAGAGAGAGACTCCTGCCTGCCAAGCTCTGAGCTGAAGGGAAATGAGCAAATGTGAGACAGGCTAAAGCTGGTAGCAAGTGAGGCTTTCTTCCTGAGGTCACCATAAAGCATAAAGGGAACTAGGAAGGGACCGCTCAGTGCAGTGCAGCCCCAGCTATGTTTATGCACCACCGAATCACCTTCCATTTCCCATGCTTTGGAAAATGCTGGATGGAGAATACCTCATTCTCATTTCTCAGTAAAGGAGTGGTAGGCTCAGACACCCATGCCAACATTCAAAAGGTCATGCAGCTGGTTAAAAAAGCAAGAGGCACCCCCCTCCAGATGTGCCCTCCTTGGCACCTGGGCTGTAGGCGGCGTCTCTAGCTCTGGCCTAGGAGCCTCTTAGCGGGAATTGCTCCTGACCCATCTCTGGGAAGAGAGACTGAGTGGAGGGAAGCACTGTCTGACCCAATTTTCCCTGATGCTTCTTGTCTCCTTTAAGCTGCGATTGCTTTTGATGATCAATGATCTGAGCTCTGGGCAGGCTGAACTCAGCCATCGCTACCATGGTTGCTCCCTCCCCAGGCTAGCCCCCGGGCCCGGCCCTATGCCCAAGGCCTGTCCCCATGACACTGGGCTGCTCCCCACTGTTCTTTCTCATGGCCTTCCACGCTTTCTTCCCTCTCCCTGGTGGGACTCCTCAGTGGTACAGAAAAGGGAGGAGTGAGACTTCCATGGGCAGGACACAGCCCAGGCCCCAGGTCAGGAGGTCCCTCTTGAACCCAGACCCTCTTTCTGGCCATTTTCAGCAATGTGAGAGAACACAGGCCCTGTGGCTGCCTGGGAAGACCTTGGAAGACATGGGCAGGCCAGTTGCCCAGAGAGCCACCACTGCCCTGCCCCTCTCCCGACCCAGGCTTTCCCGGGGCTGGCCCAGCCCCCCACCTGAGCCGGATGGGCACCTCTCCCTTCCTGGACGAGTAGCCCAAGGCCGAGAACTGTGCCTGGAGCCAGGGTAGTGACCTGCTGGTGGCTCACGGCAGGTGACCTGGACTAGCAATGTCTGGGCTACTGACCCCACATTCCCACTCCACAGGCTCTGCTCCAAAGATGAGGAGAAACCCATCTCGGGCCCTTTTCCTGACGAGGAGACCTCCATATAGAACCTAGATATTCTTGCGAGGTGCTCATATGACATGATTCAAAACCCGGAGTCACGGTGGGGTGTCTGCACGGTTTGCTATCAGATTTTGGAAAATACCTGGGGAGGGGAGATACACCTTTCAGGGGGAGGGGCCCTAAATATCTATGTTGGGCAGTGGGGAGTGGGGCAGTAAAGTCATTCAAATTAGAAACCGGGGTAGTTAATGCTACTGAGTGAGGCCCCGCAACTCCTCAGTGTCTGGGCCCCCAAAAAGAGAAGGAGCCATCAGCTTGCCAAACCCACGCACCCAGTTTCATGGAACTTTTATTGAGTTTATTTGTGGGATGCATGACAGGAGGTCTTTCCATCATTAGTAAGAATGAAAGGTCATTTTCACAGTCACTTTGGCACACGCTAACGTCTCATAAAAAAAACCAGAAAAGCAACGACAATGGAACCTATAGAATACGTCATTAAATACATACAAAACACTAATAAAATATCCCTGATAAACCAAAGTGCATATGCCCAGGACAGTATTGCACCTTCCCCAGTCGCGCGTGTCGCTCGCATGGCCTCGTCAAAGTTGGAAGTTAACAGTCGTGAGATTAGTACGCAGGTGCACACCAGTTATTTACAGAACGGCGGTCAGAGCCGCGGGAGTAGGGGCCGGCCGCCCGGCAGGGGTGCGGTGTGAACAGAGGCGGTGGCTGGGGTGGAGGGGCGGGGAGGAGTGCTACATGGATCGCGGCTCAGGGCCCAGGGGGTCGCCCCCTGGGTGTAAGGCCGCGCTGTGGAGCACCCTCGGGGGCTCCATGCAACAGTCAGCGCCGACTGGCCAGTGGGGCATCAGGGCAGACTCCAGTCCGCGGAGACGGACGGTGCGCACCGCTCAGCCCAAGGAGAGAAGCCGTCTGCACTTGGAAACCTCAACCTTGGCAAAAGGTGGATGAACGCACCGGCTCCCCTACACCTTCCCTGCCTTCTACTGGCCCACGTTCCCCCTCTGAAGCTGGAGTTGGCAGCCAATCCCGTTACCTTTCAACTTTAAGGCATCTTCTACATAGTTTTTCTAAGCAAAAAAGCAATAAAAATTGAGGTAATTCTGTAGTGGTTCACACGCGTGGGCGAGGCACGCGCGCACCAGACGGCCACTCTCTCTCTCAGCCCTGCGGCGGGGGAGCTGTGCGCGAGGCGAGAAAAGGCCACCGGGGCCGACGGGCGGACAGTGGAGGTGGGGAGTGTCCCCGCGCCCCTCCGCCGCCTCCGCGACCGGACCCCCGCAGGACAGGGCCGCGCGGGGCTGTGAGCTGCGCGAAGGCCGGGCGGAAGCGGGCCATAGTTCCACGAGTCAGAAGGACACGCTCAGCAAAGGGTCGGCGGCAGCAGCGACGGCGGTGGCAGCCGGGAAGCACCTGGCAGTGCCGGAAACTCGGGGTGGGGTCCCCGCACGACGCCGCGAGACCGCGAACCCCCCCGGGCCGGGACGGGCTCGGCCCGGAGGGTCGCCCTTTGGCCACCGGCCCCTCCTGCAACCACGACAGATCTTTGCCCCTTTACAAGCCATCACCAACCAGGTTCGGCCCCAGCAGAGGCCCGAGCCCCCGCCAGCAGGCAGCGCGGCCCGGAGCGGACGCCGAGCTCAGAGGCCCGGGAGAAAACGGTCACCCCAGAGCGCGCCCGCAGAGTCAGGGGAGCTTTCCATAGACAGAGAGGAGGGGGGCCCAAGGCAAGCTCCACAGGGCGCAGGGCATGCACTGGAGGGCAGAGGCAGAGTTATAAACGGGTCGGTTACTTGACGAGATCTTCCGGATGGGCGAGTCGGGGTCCGGGCGGGACAGCCACTGAACTACGTAGCTCTTCTTGGAGGGATCTGAGATGTTTCCTAGAGGGAGGAGAGAGGGGCTGCGGCCGCAGGGCACCAGGCTGGGGCCCCCACCCCAGGCAGAGAGGCTCCGGGTCTCCCGGGGTCCTGGGGAAGCGTCATTCAAGGCCCTCGCCTCCCCGGGCGGACAAAGGGTCCTCCGCTGCCAAGTCCACGCCCACCTCCTGCCCCTCCTGACAGCAGCCGGGGTCTCAGCTGGGTCTCAGCTATCCCGTCCCTCTCGCTGCCCTGGCATGCAGGCCCTGCCGCCTCCTTTTCTGGGCCGGCTCCTCTGCCCCTGCACCCTGCCCGCGCCCCGGGTTCCACCTGCTGACTCGAGCTCTGAGCTCCCAGAAAGCTTGGACAGAGAGTGCCAGGGGAATGAGAGATCCTGGATACACCCTCCCCAGCTGGGGGCAGGTGCCTAGACCCCCCAGAGCTCCCTCCTCTATAGAAGGGAACTGTGGCAGGCACGGTCCAGTCTTGAACTGTGTGGAGACCTTAGAGGTGACACATGTATAGCGTTTGGACAGGCATCTGTGCGTGGTAGGTATTCTGGTTCTCCTCAAAGGTCACAGAGCACACTCTCTACTCGCACAGGCGTCCCCCTATTCACACAGGCACCCCCTACACCATAGCCACCAGCATTCCCTAGCTGGCCGAGTCCTGCTGTCACCGTGAGTCTGCAGTGCCCTGAAAGCAGGGAGGGGCGAGTCAGCTCCACACAGCTCCCTCCATTTCCTGCCAGGCAAAGGTCCCAGACCTGGCCTGCAGTGCCCCGCTTCTCCATGCTCACAGATGTTGAGTCCAGCTACTCTCCGGGAAGAGCCAGATTTGCCTGAACCAAGCCTCTGACACCCCCGCCCTGGGCTGCTGCATGCTGGGAGCAGGGGCAGGGGCTGCAGGTGGCTTACGGGGACAGGGGCCAAGCCTGCAGGTCCTCGCTGTCTCAGGACGCTCCTCCTGGCAGATGCCGAAGCTGTCGTCCGCGGTGCGGCAGAGCACTGGCCGCTCCTGGGTGCCGTTGCCACAGGTTACTGAGCACTGCAGGGGGAGAGTCGCCAGGCAGGGTTCACCTCCCACACAGGGCCCGCACTGGCAGAGCTGGAGGAGCCCACAGTCCCCAGGCACATGACCCATGCGCTCAGGAGGAGGTGTGGGACAGTGGGGAGAGTGGGGTTTCAGGTTGCCTTGCCCCACCCTCGGGGGCAGCCCCAATCTCCTGGGGCTCTAAAGAAGGGACCCACATGCCTGTCTCTCTGAGCTGCTGTGAGACAGTGCCCATATACAGACTGGCATAGGCCTGGCGCTGCTGGACTCTCAGTGACAGCCTCACTTCTCTGGCTGGAGGAGGTCCAAGGCCCAGGAGAACCTGCTGTGCCCTGGGCAGGGGTTGAGGTGGGGCACTGGGAAAGCTCTGACCCAGCCTAGGAGGCGCCAGTAGGCTCCCCACAATCCTGGGCATGAGGGTCCACCACTAGTGCCCTCACTGGCTCCTCCAGCCCCCAGCACCACCACTGCTCCACCACACTGACCAGGGAGGTGCCAGAAGGAGCAGTCACGCCCAGCCTTGCCCAAGGAAAATTCTCCAGGCCTCACCAGGTGCACAGGAAAAGGCTGACTCAGCAGACCTGGATTGCTCAAAGCCTGCACATTCCCAACAAAGGTCTGTGTTTTTGTTTTGTTTTGTTTTGTTTCTTTTGTTGTTGGTTTCGAGACAGGATCTCGCTGTGTGGCCCAGGCTGGAGTACAGTGGCACGATATCAGCACACTGCAACCTCCACCTCCCAGGCTCAAGCAATCCTCCCACCTTAGCCTCCCGAGGAGCAGGGAGTACAGGCACACGCCACCACATCTGGCTAATTTTTTTTAATTTTTTTGTAAAGACGGTGTTTTGCCATGCCGCCCAGGCTGGTCTCTAACACCTGAGTTCAGGCGATCCACCCGCCTGGGCCTCCCAAAGTGCTGGGATCACTGGCGTAAGCCACTGTGCCCGGCCAACGCCTGTTTTCAAGACTGGCCCTTGTGCAGCTCCTGGGAACCAAGCTCATGGAAGGCTCCACCTATTAAGAGTGTTTTTGCCTGCCTGAGGCCTTGAGTCACCAGTACCAGTTGGTCTGGGTAGTTCATACCAACAGTGATGGATGGGGAACACCTGCTTTTCCTCTACAGTCTGAGGTCACACCTATGTAGCTGACCCCATTGAAAACCCTGGACGCCCAGGCTCTGGTGGGCTCCCCTGCTTGGCAGCATTTCACATGCATTGCCACACATGGGTGCAGGGAGAATTCAGGGCATTTCCGTGACCCCACTGGGAGGGGACACCGGGAGCCTGCGCCTGGATTCCTCCCAACCTCCTTGCCTGTGACTTTTCTTTTTCCCGATTCTACTCTGTATCCTTTCACCGTAAGCCCCTGCAACTGCAAGTCCCGCTTCTGAGTCTGTGAGTCCTTCTAGTGGATTACTGAGCCTGAGGGTGGTCTTGGGGAGCCCCTGACACACGCTCCTCCAGCTCTGCCAGCGTGGGCCCTGCATGTGACCGGGCTGTCAGAGCTCACGTCAGCTCTGTCCTGGCCTCAGCTGGCTCTCAGGCCCTGCCCCTAGGACCACCCCTGAAGCCCTTCAGTCCATCCTCATTCTTCCTCCCAGCACAAGCCTAAGCACGCCCTGCTCTTCTCCCCTCCTGCGAGTTTGTCCCCTCCCACCTCTGCATGAGACCCAGGCGTCCCCTAGGATCCTGGAGCCCCGAACATCCTACTGGGCCTCGGAGCCCGGGCTACCCTCAGTTTCCTGGGATTCCAGACCCCGTATCATGCAGAAGCCTCTGCCTGTGCAGTGAAGACACACATTCCACTGGTTTCTTAGTACAGCACTGACCACGTGGCAGCCACTGGCGCCGTGAAACCCACAGGATGTGGCTCAGGACAGGAGCTACATCCAGGCCCACGGGCCGAAAGGGGAATGCTCTGGTCACCTCAGTCCCACCCAAGCTCAGTTTGGGAGCTGAGGACACGGGATCAGGGGATTGCTTACCTGGGACCAGGGCCCGGCTCGCCAATGATCAGGGCAGAGCTCGCTGCTGCAGGCCCGGCGGCTCTCAGGCCGGGCGTCATTGCAGTGCTTGGCATGCACGGAGCGGGTGGTGGTGTTGTGTAGCGGCTGAATGCAGCGCACGGAGCGCACCTGCATGCCTGTCCACCCTCAGTTTTGGAGCTGAGGACACGGGATCGGGGGATTGCGTACCTGGGACCAGGGCCCGGCTCGCCAACGACCAGGGCAGAGCTCGCGGCTGCAGGCCCGGCGGCTCTCGGGCCGGGCGTCATTGCAGTGCTTGGCGTGCACGGAGCGGGTGGTGTTGTCGTGTAGCGGCTGAATGCAGCGCACGGAGCGCACCTGCATGCCTGTCCGCCCACAGGTCTGGCTACATGGCTCCCATTCGCCTGTGACCCACCTGCCAGGGCAGAGCGGGGCACAGTCAGGCTTCCGCAGCACCTGGAGAACCTGCCTGGCTGAGCTCCAGCGCCGCTCCCTGCAGCCCAGGTAGACAGCGAGCACAGAGGGCAGCCTGCACCCCTCCCCGGTGCACCTTCTCTTATTCTCACTAAGATGCTGGCTGTCCAGGCTTGCACAGAGGGGAAACTGAGGCTCAGCTGCCCCAGGTCCTACTGACCATGAGTCCCATGCATGTCACCACTGGGAGGCCCTGGTGGAGCTGGTGGCTCTGGAGGTCCCTAGCCTGAAGAGGTTTCCCAGCCTCCTTAGGGTCTGGGCCCTGCTACCTGGCCTCACCTTCTGCTGACGTCACAAATCCTTCTCGGCAGAGCTCAAGAGCAGTGTGGATTCCCTCAGCACGCTGTCCTATGTGGCCCCCACCTGCCCATTTCCCAACTGTCTTCCCCACTGAGGTCCCTGGACCCAGAAACGCAGCTGGGCCCAGCCCCAGGGCCTGAACGTCAAAGCCACTGCTTAAGAAACATCTACCCCGTGGTACAGGGCCAGGAGGCGAGCCCTGCGCCTCTGAACCCCCATTTCCCCATCTGGGCATCCCTGTTTCTTGTCATCTCTAAGATGCTGTTCAGTTTGGCGGGTTTGAAGCTGGGGTGCGCCTTCTGCCCTGCAGCATCTTAGATTCCATGAAATGTGGTGAGAGAGACTTGGTCAAATGCCTCGGATGATGCCAGGCCCAGGCCCCACACCTCCAAGCACGGGAGCCCCTGGTGGCCCCTGGCCTGTCTCCTCTAGTGGGAGCCCGAGCTGGGGGCACTCACACTGGCTGGGAGCATTCCTGTGGGTTGCACGCTCTGCGGATGGCTTTGGGCTTCGAGAGGGCGGCACAGAAGCCACGGTGTACCATCTTGTGGTCCAGCCTCCGGCGGCAGCCATACTTGGTGAACTGGGACCCTGAAGGCAGAGAGCTCGACGGGGGTCGGTGGGGCAGCATGCCCTGCCCGAGGGTGCAAGGAGGGGTGGGCTGCACCAGCAGTGCTGGCCTCGTTTTCCTGCTCACCCTTGTGATGACAATAAGGGTGGGCAGGGCACCGAGCCTGCGGCTGGCTGGGGGGAGGCCTTGGTGTGTCCCGGGTGGAGGGGCGAGAGGGCAGGAGAGGCCATTTTCTCCCCTAGGCTGCCTCTCCCTCACTGGGCTCCTGGGTCAGAGTGGAGGCCCTATTTCCTTGCTACTGCTAGGCACCGCTTCTACCTTGACCTCACATGCCCAGCAGGCCTGGTGCAAGCCAGGAGCCGGGCAAGCACTGGGCCCGCAGCCCGCATGCTTCCTCCCACAGGCCCAGAGCAGCCGTGCTCAACCCGGGTGATTTTCTCCAGCAGGGGACATTTGGCCACGTCTGGGACATGTTTGGTTGTCACAACTGGGGGAAGGGGTGCTACTGGCATCTGGTGAGCAAAGGCCAAGGATGCTGCTTGACACCCCACCGTGCACAGGACAGCCCCCATGGCGGCGAGTGACAGAGCCCAAAATGTCAGTGATGCCCAGGCTTCGAAACCCTGGCCTGCTGGGTAAGACCAAAGAAAGCATGGAGATAAAGCCTGACCTCCTCTGGGTGCCTGGAGGCATCCCAGGAAGCAGAGGCTGGGGAGGCTGACGTGGTGGCAGGGCGGTGGAGGGGCTCAGGCGAGGAGAAGCCTGCGCAGAGGCCCCAAGGTGGGACATGGTGTGTATCCAGGAAAAGCCCTTAAGGCCGGCGTGGCCAGGACCTGGGGGCGAGGCACAGGGTGGAGATATACTGGGAGAGGCCAACAAGTTGCCCCAACCCTGGAGGCCATGAGGAGAATTTTGTTTTTTATCCTAAGAGCAGAGGAAGCTGTTGAAGACTATGACACCAGGAAGAGAGAGACATTGTCTGATGTGTTCCCTCAAACGGTTACTTTGGGGTGAGAGTGGACACACAAGGGCCAGTCCAGAGGAAGGTGGGTGCCAGGACCGGGGAATGGCCAGGAAGATGGGAAGAGCACACAGGCCCAGGAGATTTCAGGAATCACCAGGGGTGGATGCGCTGATGAAATCCAGGCCCGGTGTGGGGCCGGGGGTGCCCAGGGGCCCTGGAAGAGGACCCTTCCATCTGCCTGGGCCAGGGAGTGACCCCACCTCTTGGTGAGCTCCTTGTCCTCCAGGTGTGGGCCCAGCATGGCATCGAGGGAGGACTGTCCTGGTCACTTGCCTGGTATCGCCCAGCCCCCAGGAGCACGCAGAACAGATCAGCGCTTCCTGTCTGCCTCTGGGTCCTATGTCCCATCAACTGCAGACTCTCTGGGGTCCAGAGTGGGTAGGACCCCTCTGTGCTCAGCCCTGTCCCAGAAACATCTGGGAGGCTTTTCCCAGTGAACGGAGAGAGAAGCCTCTGGAGGTGTCATCTGCACTGCCAGAGTCTTGCCTATGCGATCCTGCCAATGCCACGGCATGATCCTTCTGAGGTGTCCACACATCAACCTCTTGCTAGGCCAGCCTGTCACCCCCACACTGAAGCAGGCCCACAAATACAGGGTCCATGCCCCACACACCCTTTGGCCACATTTGACCCAATGCCCCAGCACCCCCCTTCCTGCCCACCCACCGGCCCCTCCATTGCCGCTAAGCCCTTGCCCACCCAGGCAAAGGTCCCTGCTGTGGCTCCTCGGCCCCTGCTCACGCTGGCCCCACCCCAGGGATGCTCCCTACCTTCTCGTGGTCACCCTCATGTCACCCAGGTCCCCAGCTTCGAGACCCCCTCACCTCCGCCACAGGGCTTGGAGCACGGAGACCACTTCTTCAGGGCCCACTCGTAGACCACAGAGTCCTCTTCCAGGACGTTGTTGTCGTCGACATTCAGTGAGTCCTCATGGATCATGTATTTGTACGTCAGTGAGACCCGGGTGTCTCCCACCGGGATGACCTGTGCCAGCCCAAGAGCCTTGATGTGCCTGACCTGCCCTCCATGCTTCCTCCCCAGCCAGCTTAGGAACGGCAGCTGAGGCCGACTCCAGAGGAGTCTCATCATTCATGGCAGTTACATTCCATGAAGTCGCCCCGAGCACCAAATTCTTGAATAGGGAGCCATTACCCCAGGGGGCACAGGGTGAGGTTCCTGTGAGCCTCTGTCTCAACATTTTTGTTACCCGATCAATATATAACCTTGTTTTATGTGTGAGTCTGTTTATTTTTTTGTTTGTTTTTGTTTGTTTTTGAGATGGAGTTTCGCTCTTGTAGCCCAGGCTGGAGTGTAGTGGCACGATCTCGGCTCACTGCAACCTCCGCCTCCCAGGTTCAAGCGATTCTCCTGCCTCAGCCTCCTGAGTAGCTGGGATTACAGGCGCCCGCCACCACGCCTGGCTAATTTTTGTATTTTTAGTAGAGACAGGGCTTCCCCATGTTGGCCAGGCTGGTCTTGAACTCCTGACCTCAAGTGATCCACCCGCCTCGGCCTCCCAAAGTACTGGGATTACAGGCATGAGCCACTGCGCCTGGCCTATGTGTGAGTCTGTTTAAAGACACTTTATTTAATTTTTACTGTGATTCATTAACACTGAACTCACAGTCAATCGCACTGCAGCCCATGCCTGAACGAAGCTTATTCAACACATGTATTTTCTTCTTAAGACACCACTGCTTCCTGGGCTTAGGAACACTGGACAGCACTTCAGCAACAGGCTCAGGGTGATTTTCAACAGCGAAATCGCCCCCAAAATAGCACAAAATGTGATGTATGTGACACTCAACAGACTGCAGAAAGAACCCCTGTTTGTGGGATGAGAGCAGAAACAAGCAGACAGCGTGCTGAGTTGCTCCCACCTCCGCTGGGAACACGTGTGGCAGGCGACTCACACTTCACCACTCTGTGCGTGTCCGTTTGGGGCTCACGAATCAATTTTAGTGAGCAGGTGAATTTGCAAATACAGAAACCGTGAGTGCCGAGGACCAGCTGCTCACACACTGATGCAGGCAGGTCACCAAAGGCACGTCCAGGGGGCCAGAAGTCACTGCAGGCGAGGCAGGCAGGGTGCCAGGGGGTACACGGGGCATACCTGGCTCACTGCTGCACCTGCTTACAGGTGCACCCACGTGTGGAGCGCTGGGGGCTGGTGGATTAATCCCAATGCCAGCATGCCCACCTTAGGGAGGGGCTCCAGAGCATGGGAGCCTTATTTGTGATATGTACCTTTTTTGACAAATAAAATATATCCCTATGCAGTTAAATTACATTTTAAAAAGTGATCTGACCTCCTCAAAACCAGGTAAAAAGAAAGTGATTTGAAAATCCAGCCCCCGTGGTACTTTCCTACAACCAGGAGATCTGGGGTCCCATCCTGCTTAGAGACACAGTCCAGCTCAACCTGGGTCTGGGCATCTAGCTTCCCAGACCCTGAGCGTCACCTCCCAGAGTGTCACCGATTCCAATGTAACAGCACACTCGAACGAGCATGCTGATGGCAGCTGTGAATGTCATTCAGATGGTGAAACCGAAACCCTCAAAGGGAGAGTGTGCCCAAGGTCACCTAGGGGTCATGTGGGGTCCAGAGCCCCGGCTCGTGGATGCATGTCCCTTCCTGGCTCTGACCAAGTCGGAGCCCCTTGGTGCCAAAGGCAGGCCAAAGGGGCCACGCAGAGTGTCACCTGAAGGGTCAGGAGGCTCAGCGTCCCAGGCACCCCCATCCCTCCCCCAGTGGCCACCCGCACCCTTCCCTGGGCCCAGCCCTGCTTGGACTCACCAGAACGGTGATGGTGCCGTGGAGGGGGCCCATGGTCTGCAGCGTCTCCCGGCCGTCCTCGTCTCTGTACTCCCACTCCACGCCCATGGCAATGAAGGTTTTGGAACTGGCATCCACGTCATTCTCTTCATTTAAGATGAACTTGCCTGTCTCCAGGTTCTTGACGGCTGAGAATGGCAAGACCAAGTCCCCCGTTGTGGTCACCCAAGAGCAGGACCCAGGCCCACTGGTTTGGGCTGGTCGGGGAGTGGGGGCAGCTAGCTGGACCCCTTGTCTCTCTGGCTGCCCCCGGCCAGTTTCCTCTGTGCCACGACAGCCCAGATGGCTCTGGGAGCCCTGCTTGCCCATCACTGCTCCCTCGGGACCAGATTACCCTCCACTCGCATCCTCTGCCCCCACCAGCCCTGGAGGTGCCGGCTCCCCTTGGAAGCCACTCAGTAGCCGTCAAGGCCACCTACCCATACCCTATTGGGAGCACTCAGTGGGCGCTTAGAGGCCACCCGGGGCAGGATGGCTGGGAGGGGTCTGTACGCGGTGCAGGGCATCTGCTGGACAGGCGAGCACATGACCCTGCTGGAGTAGGGCTTCCTGCCATGGGGTGAGTATATGTCTGGCTGAAACAGCAGAACCCCCACCCCATCAGGGACCATGGCCCAGCCGAGGCCCCAGCAGCTCCCCACAGCCCCAGAAGAGGCCTGGCCTGATTGGGTGACACTCAGGTCATCTAGGAGCAGAGGACCTGGCTAGCCAGGAAGCCCCATGCTCTCTGCAGTGTGGGGGGTGGCTGCTGCGGGGCAGCTGGGTGATGTGAGTGGGGCCGCAGACAGGGCACTAGTGAGAAAATCATTCCCTGTCACGTCCCCTGTAATTCTGTCCACTCACAAACAAAGCCTCTGCTTGGTGCCACACGTCCCTGCCTTCTCTCTGGCCCTTGCTCCCTTTCCACAGAGAGCGACCTCAGCCCCAGAGGCGGTGGCAGGAAGCAGCGTTGGGACAGAAATGTCTTTTTGTTCAGAAACTGACTTTTCTGTTCACCTGCTTCAGGCAAGTGGTACAGGTTTTTATATTTAGGGTAGCAGTCGAAAGTTTCCTCTTAAGAGGCGAGGTGCAGTGGCTCACAGCTGTAATCCCAGCATTTTGGGAGGCCGAGGCAGGCGGATCACGAGGTCAGGAAATGGAGACCATCCTGGCTAACACGGTGAAACCCCGTCTCTAGTAAAAAATACAAAAAATTAGCTGGGCATGGTGGCACACGCCTGTAATCCCAGCTACTTGGGAGGCTGAGGCAGGAGAATCACTTGAACCCAGAAGGCGGAGGTTGCAGTGAGCCAAGATCAGGCCACTGCACTCCAGCCTGGGCGACAGAGCGAGACTCAAAAAAAAAAAAAAAAAAAAAAAAAGTAAGAAAGAAAAATGAGTATCAAGAGAGTGAGATCCTGTCTCTAAATAAAAACAAAATAAAATAAAACAAAAGGGAGATAAAATAAAAGGGCATGGTATGTTTGTCAGGCAGCGTGGGTGCTGGTCCACGGCAGCGTGGGAGCCCCAATCCTGTCCAGCCTCCTGGGGATGGGGATGAATGTGGGGCTCAGATTGGGGAAGGGACTTATCCAGGGGCCCCAGCAGTCCCTGGTATCACTTCTGACCTTGGCCCATGAATTCCCAGAAGGTAGGGCCCAGGCACCTTCAGAGGGAGGGTGGACAGGTCCTGAGAGCCTCCCGCGTGGCCTGGGAGGGCGTGGTCTCCCAGGCAGCGCTGCTTCGTGGAAAGGGGCACCGAGAGGTGTGAGAACATCCATATTTTCAGGAGATACCAGGATCCCTATTTTAGCTGGAATCTCTTGAATTTAAAATTAAACGAATTGAAAATGTAAGTGCACTGTGTGCACCCACCTGACAGCTGGCCTTGCTGAGGGGATGGGAGGGCTGCCCAGGACCCTGCTGCCTGCAGACCCTGCCTGCCTTCCCGAGGGCAGGGGGCCTTCCCGCCCCGACTGTGAGAACAGGGGACAGGGAGTCATCCTGTAGACTGAGGGACACATGTTTTGCATATATGTCCTTTCATAGCTGCTGCCAAGCGGAGCCCTCTGATCCCAAACCCTGGCCTCTCCACAAGGGGAGGACCCTGGGAAAGGGCCCAGGTGGGCTGAGCAGAGGGACAGGTTGGGGAGGGGCTGCCCTGGCTCAGGTCATGGCTGCACAACCCGGGCCCCTGACCCCTGACCCCTGGCACTCTGCCCATTGATCCCAGAGGAGCCAGGTCCTGAGGACGTCAAGTTGTCCGGCTCTGAGACTCACCCAGATGGTGGCTGGTGGCGTCTACCTCCTGAATGAGCAGGTGTCTGGCTCCTGCAGGGATCTCAAACATCTTGATGTAACCTTTTTTTGATGTGGAAAGACACAGAAAACTGAGAAGGGAAGGCGCCGCTCAAATTCGCACCATGCAAGGAGGGGCCTCGCTCTTGAAGGCAGCTCCTCCGGAGGCTCTCCCAGGACCCTGGTATTTCTCTGGCTTTGAGGACCCACCTGAGAGGGGCCACCAGGAAAGCTGCTGCCTCCAGGCTAGTCTTTAAGGCCCAACCCGGGCATCCTCATATACTGGCATTCTCCACTCTAACCCCTGTGACCCCGGCCCCCACTCTCCTCTTCCCCACCCACCCTGGCACCCAGCTGGGGCTGTCCCCGACTTAGGATTCTCCCTCCCCCTCAGTGTCACAGACCTCTCCCCCTCCCCAGAACAGTCATAAGCCCGGACAGCCCCAGGATGAGTCAGGCCCTCAGCTGTCCGGGCATGAGCCTGCTGCAGGCATCCAGGCTCCAGGGTGGAGAGCAGGGACCCACTCACCATGCTTCTTGGGTGACCGTGTGAACGTGCCCTTGACCACTTTGCAGTGGCTGTTGTCCCCTCCGCACACGCCACACTTGTCTTCCTGCTTGCTGGAGCCGATCACACCGTCACAGCCCACCTTCTGTTGGGGGAGGAGGCAGTGAGCACTTGAGACGTCCTGCTAGTAGAGTCAGGGTCATACTATGTTGCCCCCAGTCTCGAACACCTGGCCTCAAGCGATCCTCCTGCCTTGGCCTCCCAAAGCATTGGGATTACAGGCGTGAACCACCTTGCCTGGCCTCATCTTTTATTATCTCCAAAATCAGAGTGCGTCTAGTCATCAGTTAAACGGACCTTGCCTGCCACCTACAGCAGTGTCTCGACCTGGCAGTTTCCGTCTGGGCCCCTGTGCACGCGGCTGGTCTTGGGCAGGGGACTCATCGAGGCCCAGGCAGGCACCGTCCCTGGCTTGATGAACATTTATGTTTGGCAAGCAGGAGATGCTGTTTATTTTTACATTTTTTTTTGAGACGGAATCTTGCTCTGTCGCCCAGGCTGGAGTACAATGGTGCAATCTCAGCTCACTGCAACCTCTGCCTCCTGGGTTCAAGCAATTCTTCTGCCTCAGCCTCCCGAGTAGCTGGGATTACAGGTGCCCACCACCATGCCTGGCTAATTTTTTTTGTATTTTTAGTACAACGGGGTTTCACCATGTTGGCCAGACTGGTCTTGAACTCCTGACCTCAGGTGATCCACCTGCCTTGGCCTCCCAAAGTGCTGGGATTACAGTCCTGAGCCACCGCGCCCGGCCAAGTTTTGATATTCTTTAACAGACAGAATCCAGTTGGATATTATTTTTTGACCCAGTATTAGGTTCTGCATGAATATTTATGTTTTCTAATTATGCAAAATTGAGCAACCTGCTATTACCTGTCAAAATCAACATTAATAAAATATTTAACCTATTCTTTTTTTTTTTTTGAGACAGTCTCGCTCTGTCGCCTAAGCTGGAGTCAGTGGCGCGATCTTGGCTCACTGCAGCCTCCGCCTCCCAGGTTCAAGTGAGTCTCCTGCCTCAGCCTCCCGAGTCGCTGCCTGTAGTCCCAGCTAATTTTTTTTTTTTTTGTATTTTTAGTAGAGACGGGGTTTCACCATGTTGGTCAGGCTAGTCTTGAACCCCAGACCTCAAATAATCTGCCCGCCTCGGCCTCCCAAAGTGCTGGGATTACAGGCGTGAGCCACCACGCCCAGCCCCTATCCTTCTTTAATACCCATGTCAGGAGTGACGTGATAGCCACACCCACGGAGACAGTGCATTAGTGATCTTCCCTCCCCGTTAGGTTTACAACCATGATCACAGCTGCCATCTGAAGCTACTTGTACTACAACTGTTTCCCATGCTTGCTGCCTGTATTAATTATGTTTTTGTTTTTCAAAACGTCCTATGTCTTGATATTTTGACATCTTAAAAATCTTCCTGTCTGGGGAGAGACTACACCTCCCAGGGGTATCCAGTTCTAAGGGACAGCAAAGCACTGGGTTGGGGACACACCTTTCACATGCAAGCCAGCCAGTCTTCAGTCTATACCCCAAGCACCTCCTTTATCCAGGACTCACATACCAAACCAAGATTCTTGCACCCTAACTCATCCCAGGGTTGGGTACCAGGCTACTGGGGACCACCCTAAACTCCAGAGCCCACTGGAATGATTCAAACTGGCCATTCCTGAGCTGTCCCCCTTCCACTGCCCTGCCTTCCTCAGGAGCCCTCTCAGTGACATTGGCCTCCCCACGTCCTCACTGGGTCACCTCCATAAATTAAAATCCCAAGGGTACAGAGCAGACACCACCTGTTCTTGTTTTGGCGTATTTGGTGTCGCCATCTCTGAGCCAGCTGTATAGCCCAGCCTCCCGGCCCTGCCGAAGTCACAGGAGCAAATGCAGAGCAGCCCTCGAGCACCCTCCCGGCTCCAGCTCCAGCTCCAGCTCCCGGCTCCAGCTCCAGCTCCCGGCTCCATCCCCCAGCTCCCGGCTCCAGCCCCCAGCTCCCGGCTCCAGCCCCCAGCTCCCGGCTCCAGCCCCCAGCTCCCGGCTCCAGCTCCCAGCTCCCGGGTCCAGCTCCCGGCTCCAGACCCCAGCTCCCGGCTCCAGCCCCCAGCTCCCGGCTCCAGCCCCCAGCTCCCGACTCCAGCTCCAGCTCCCGGCTCCAGCCCCCAGCTCCGGGCCTCTAGCCCCCAGCTCCCGGCTCCAGTCCCCAGCTCCCGGCTCCAGCTCCAGCCCCCAGCTCCCGGCTCCAGCTCCCAGCTCCCGGGTCCAGCTCCCGGCTCCAGCCCCCAGCTCCCGGCTCCAGCCCCCAGCTCCCGGCTCCAGCTCCCAGCTCCCGGCTCCAGCCCCCAGCTCCCGACTCCAGCTCCAGCTCCCGGCTCCAGCCCCCAGCCGCTGTCCCTGCGCCCACTCCCCTAGAGGTGCCTTCCTGCCGATGCGGCTGTTTCTCAGGAAGGTCAAGCCAGAGTCAGCCTCCACGACTCCTGCCATCAGTCCTGTCTACACAAGCCCTAAGCAGAGACTTCCGGTTGTTTTCGGGGGAGCCTGGCAGGGACAAGTCTATGTTCATGTCACCGTCACATGGCGAGGTGACACGAGATTGTTTTTCCTGACAGCCAAAGATTGAAGCCAAAGGCATCATAATAAAAGAAAACAGAGGAGGGCATTTCTACAAAGCACCAAACCAGTGACCCTCACAGTGGCCACCCAGATCCAGCAAGAAGCTGCCCAGTGCCCTGCAGGGTGCAAGGATGGGGCCTGCTTCACAAGGGTCCCCTGTAGGTCACGTGCATTGGAAATCACCTGGGATGCTCCTAAAAATTCATGCTCCCAGGCCGCCACCACCGTGACCTGTGGAATCAGGACGTCTGAGGTGGAGTCCAAACTCTCCAGGTGAGTCCTAGGCATACTCAAGTCTCAGGCTCCCAGCACAGGGGAGGGGTAAACAGACATTTGCCAAGAGCCTGCCCTGGTCCGGGCATTGTTTCTGACACTTCGTATGCTTCACCTCATGCATCTTGCCAATACCCCGAAAAGGGGGAGGTCAGTACCCAGGAAGCTGAGACTTGACACGGTAGCCCCCCGTGCCGGCCTCTGTGTACTCACCCTGCAGTCCCCGCGCACACAGAGGCTGAAGGCGTCCTTGTAGGAGCAGCGCGTCCCGTCATGCACCATGCGCTTCATGGACACCACCTCCCCGGTCTCCCTGGACTCGCAGTACAGGTGGCATCTCTCCTTGGCTGGAAGGGAAGCAGCTGGGGGTCTGCAAGGAGCCCTGATGGCTTCCCCATGTGTGTGCAAAGGAGGCACCAAGCAGGAGAAATTTCCACAAGGGTCCCCACGTGGCCCACCCTCCAGGGCAGACAGAGAGGGAAAGGGGTGGGTGACAGCAGCCCCCTTCCTGTCTCTGTGTCTCCTAAGCCTTTGACCCTGGTGGTTGTGGACTTTGGAAGAGCTTTTCCCAACCAAGCCAGCCAGGCTGTTGGTGCAGCCCGGCTCTCACATCCCCGAGGCCCCGCTTGGAGACCTCCGAGGCTGCAAATGTCTGTTTGCTGGGTTGCTATCTAAAGAACCCTTTTCAGGCCAGGCAAGATGGCTCACACCTGTAATCCCAGCGCTTTGGGAGGCAGAGGCAGGTGGATCACTTGAGGTCAGGAGTTCCAGACCAGCCTGGCCAACATGGTGAAACCCGTCTCTACTAAAAATACAAAAATTAGCTGGGTGTGGTGGTGAGCGCCTGTAATCCCAGATACTTGGGAGGCTGAGGCAGGAGAATCGCTTGAACCCAGGAGGCCGAGCTTGCAGTGAGCCAAGACTGCGCCACTGCACACTGCACTCCAGCCTGGGTGACGGAGCAAGACTCCATCTCAAAAAAAAAAAAAAAAAGGCCAGGAGCAGTGGCTCATGCCTGTAATCCCAGCACTTTGGGAGGCCGAGGCAGGCGGATCATGACGTCAGGAGATGGAGACCATCCTGGCTAACATGGTGAAACCCTGTCTCTACAAAAAATGCAAAAATTTAGCCGGGTGTGGTGGCGTGCGCCTGAAGTCCCAGCTACTCAGGAGGCTGAGGCAGGAGAATAGCTTGAACCTGGGAGGCAGAGGTTGCAGTGAGCAGAGATCACGCCACTGCACTCCAGCCTGGGCAACAGAGTGAGACTCCGTCTCAAAAAAAAAAAAAGTAAATAATCCTTTTCAGTCAATCTCTGAAATCCAGAATGAGGCCAGCCTGCCTCGATTCAGACTCAGGTCCCTGGAACCTTCCCTTCTCAGCCTTTATCTGAGGCAACTAAAACGCTGGGCCCCCAGACTGTGGCCTCCGCCAGAGGGGGACCCCATCTGCTGTGTCACCTCCAACCCTGCACTGGCCCACATGAGGCAGCAGCTGCTGGGCTAGGGCAACAGCCATGGAGGAGAAACAAGGACTGTGTTTACAGTCCGTCCCAGGAGGGTCCCCAGCTGCCACACAAGCACTGCCATGCCCAAGGCCACCAGACTCCTCAGGTCCCTGAGCCAATAAATGCCTTCTAGTGCTGAAACCGGTTGGAGTCAACTTTCTGACACTCGCAACTGAGAGTCCCGACTAATAGAGAAGGTCAGAGGTCACCAGATTCCTTGGCAGGGTCAGCCCTGGCCTCAGCCCTGAGCTGACCACACAGCTCAAGCCTCGTCCACCCACGGTGAACTGCAGGAGCCCGGCCCCTGCCGAGCCCGCAGCCCGGCCACCTCTTCCATGTCCTCAGCTACTCTGGGGTGTTCTGGTGCTCTGGGATTGCAGCCCTGCTAGGAACTTTAATGCCCCACCCAGGAGTGGGCCAGGGCAGCCACACCAGCCAGGGTGGGCTCTCCTGCCAGCCCAGGGTCGCGGCAGCCTTGCCCCATGCAGGATCAGAGGCACAAGCCCCCACCCTGCCCACCCTAGGGCCTGCCTGCTGAGCCCCCACTGATGCCTCCCAGAAGGGCTCACCATCCCGGTGCTCGTGGGGCAGCCAGTGGTGCTGGGCGTCGCCGTGCTCGAAGTACAGGTCCCACTGGCGGCACTGCTCCTCGCGGAAGTCAGCCAGGGAGTCGGGGCAGTCCTGGCGGCTGCAGAGCTGGAAGTCGTAGGCAAGGCCCGAGCAGGTGCGGCCCCCGTTGGCCGGGCTGGAGGAGAAAGCAAAGGCCTTGCCGCTCCGTGCCATTGGAAAGAGGCAGCACCCGGGTGCCCTTGTGAGATCTTTTTAGGGGGGATCCCTAAGTCTCAGGTGTCCGGGGGGCAGCTCTGCTGAGCAAAGGGACCTTGCCCTGCCATGTCCTAGCTGTAAGACCTGGGCAGTTGTCCAGCCTGTCAGGCCTCAGAGTGAAGCTCTTGAAAGGACAGGACAGGATGGCCACATCCTCCCTCCTGGGGTTCCTGTGGGGAGGCAGCATCTGCTCACAGCCCTGGTGCCACCTCCTCCCCAGCACTGATGCCTGGGCTTGGAGATGAACAGGAAGCTGTGATTGGGTGTTTAGGTTCTGTGTTCCCCACAGGGCGAAAACCCCAGCACGGCAGGAGCTGAGTGAGTCTCCTCTGCAGCTGGCCCTGGGCACCGAGCCTAGCACAGAAAGAGGCATGCTGAGGCCCCAGAGTCCCGGTGCTGCAGTTCTCAGCAAGTGTCTTGGCACAAAGCAGACGCATCACGGCCGCTGGGTTTTCTCCCTGTGGAGAAGGCGGGCTGCGTTTCTGCAACGTCTTCGCTTCACTGGGAACAGCACCAACCCACACACTGCCTCTTGAGGTTCTAAATGCCCAGCAATCTCTTTCCGAGTCTGGCGTAAAAGCCCCAGGGGTGCTTGAGGAGGGGCCACGGGGCTCCCTGTCTGCTTCTGGCCGGGAGGGCAGCCTGGAGCCTGGGGCAGGAGGACAGCAGGGGTAGGAGAGGGATCCATGCACGAGCGTGTTCACACGTGCTGCTGAGGGAGGCTGTCCCACTGCGGGATCCCTCCGCGGAGCCGTGACTGCGGGTCCTCTCTGGCTCCGCAGGGTCCAGCTCGGGCCTGGCCAGAGCAAGGAGAGCAGCCCGAGTGAACAGGACCCAGGAGCGGCCGCAGAGGCCGGAGCGCAGCAGCCGGGACGCACCCGGAGCCCTGCCCGCCAGCTGGTAACTGGGCCCGGCTGTGCATCTGTGATGCCCAATTTGGAGGCTGGAAATCTGTTTTGTTTGTTTTTCTAATGTGAAATTACAGATTGTCAATATTTTCAGGCAAATCAAAATCTTTAAAATACCAGACAGGCCAAAAAGGAAAGACCGAAGCTCTGTGTGTCTAAGCAGCTGCAGGGCCTGCGGCGTAAGAGCCCGCTGCGCAGGTGGGAGACGGGGGTAACGCTGATGTTTGTGGAGGGTTCTCCCTCCATGCCAGCCCCCCCGGGACACTCCCTGGGTGAGGCCAGGGTGAGCGTTCAGGCAGGAGGAGACAGGCAGTGGAGGAGGGAGAGGAGGGTGTGGATGAGAAAGTGGCTGCGGGCTGAGGAGGGAGCACGGGCCCGGGAGATATTTACGGGGTGTGTGGGGGTGAGGTGGGAGGAATGAGAAGGGGCAGGAGGACAGCACAGGGCATGGGGCCTGCGTGGCGGGTGGGGCTGAGGTATAGCTGAGCATGGGGATGCAGCTGGCATGGGCCGGCTCTACAGGTTGTCCCTCCCCTGGGCAGCCAGACACTGATGACAAATCCCGACCCTGCCCTCACCTGGCTGCAAACAGCTGCCCAGGTGCTAGCATCGGGGGGGCTGAGAGACCACCCCCGCTTACCCCCATTTCCCCAGCTCGGTCCTCCCTCCTCTCCTCCATGCCCGTGGCCAGGAGAGACAGAGTAAATCTGTCTAGAGTGGGCTGCAGGCAGGTGGGCTGTGGGCCCCGGCCAGGGGAAGGGGTAAGAGGCAGAGCTAAGCGTCCCCTGAGCCGTCACCCCCTCCCAGGTAGGGTGAGGCAGGCGGGGCAGCCTGCCCTGCACCTCTCCAGAACTGGTGTGCAGCCACAGGGCCCTCCAGGACAGGGCTGGCTGGAGAGGGTCTCCTGGACCCTCAGCTGCCACTCAGCAAGGCCAGGGGGACATGGGGCCAACTCACTGTGGGTTGTCACACTGGCGGGTCCTGAACTTCACGCCCGTGCCACAGGTACGTGAGCAGGAGCCAAACGGACTCCAAGCGCCCCAGCTGCCGTCCCGTTTGAGGATGTCAGGTGTCAGCCAGATGCAGTGTCCTTTAAAACAATGCTGAAAGACAGGAAGCCAGTCCCTCCACTCACCCTCACACCGGGCCGTGGGGACAGTCCTGCGCTCTGCAGCCTGCAGTGTCTGGGACACGTCCTGGCCCCACTCTGGGGCACAGGGGGAGCTCACCCTCCTCGCCCCTAGATGCTCAGAGCCCCCAGAAGACAGGCCTCATTGGCCAGAGGCAATAAGAGGCACAGTGAGGGGCTGGCCTGCCCTGCCTCCCGCTTGCTGACCCACCCTCCTGCCTTCTAGCAGCTCTGTGTCCCCTCAGCTGGAAGCTGCACCACATGACGCCGCCAGGATAGATGCCTCCTGGGTGCCCACACACAGCCCATTTATAAAGATACCACTGGCCTATCAGGCCAGTGACTGCAAGACATACAAGGTTTATTTAAGCAAAAAAGGCAATTTAGAGGAAATACTATGGAAAAAAGGGACAAGTAATATGCTGACATGGTAAAAACCAGGAATAAAGTCCAATGCTGGCATGTAGGAAAAATGATTCCACATCTTAATCTGATCACAGTGCTCTCATTCCTCTAGGGGGAGGAAGCGTCTACAGTTTAGGGGACCCACTTTAAGAAGAAGATTGCAAAATTAAAGAATTAAATTAGGTGCAAAATGGGTTATTGACTTGAAATGAGAAAATACATCACACAAAAACGTTTTAAAACTGACAATGACCAAACAACCAAAAAACAGAGAACAAGGACTTCTAATACATTGACTGACAGAACTTTTCCTTCAGTTCCGACTGCATGCTCTTTTTTTTTTTTTTTTTTTGAGACAGAGTCTCACTCTGTCCCCCCAGGTTGGAGTGCAGTGACGATCTTGGCTCACTGCAACCTCCGCCTCCTGGGTTCAAGCGATTCTCTTGCCTCAGCCTCCCGAGTAGCTGGGATTACAGGTGTCCACCACCACCCCCAGCTAATTTTTGCATTTTTTTTTTTTTTATTTTTAGTAGACACAGGGTTTTGCCATGTTGGCCAGGCTGGTCTCGAACTCCTGACCTCAGGTGATCCACCTGCCTCAGCCTTCCAAAGTGCTAGGATTACAGGCGTGAGCCACCGCGCCCGGCCGACTGCATACTCTTTAACCCTTCTTTGTATGACCTAATTTTGTAGCACTGTTTCCACAAAGAGAACAGAAAGAGAACGCAGCCATTCCTTGGCAAACTCTTCTCAGCAAACCATTCCTCAGCAAATTCTTTCTGTAAAAGGGCCAGAGAGTAACTATTGTAGACTTTGCAGGCTATATAATCTCTGTTGCAATTAATCAATTCTGCCATCAGAGCTTGAAAGCAGCTATAGACAACCTATAAATGAATGGACATGGCTGTGTTCCTTATTGGAACTTTATTTTGTAAACTTTATTTACAAAAACAGGCAGCAAACAGAAACTTTGAATGGAAGTGTAAGGAGGTTGGTGAACCCTCTCCCCAGTAACTGACGAAAATTAGTTTTTAAAAAGCAGCCATTTAAAGTCTCTGGAAATTGTCCTAAGGTCTAAACAACAAATGAAGAAGCTTTTTTTTTTTCTCAAGAAAATCTATTAAATCTTGGTAAGAAAAGCAAAAGTCTATGGCATTGGAGCCACAGCCCTCCCCCATTCCTGCCCTAGCTCAGTGTGACAGAAGCTTTACTGCCAAGAAGACGGGGCTGCCTCTACTCCAAGCTCCCGGTCTGAGGCTACAGTTTCATACTGAGAAACCCAGGCCACTGGTGTCATCCCTCTCAACTCTGTTGCAGAGTCTCTCTCTGGTGGGATGGCCAAGAGGCCTGGGGCCCCCTTCCCCCACCCAGGCCCCACTCATAGGGCACAAGCTCTGCTCCAGGTACACCAGGCCAAGAATGGTGGACCTGATAGCCCCTCCCCAGATTGCTTATAGGGTAGAGGTTCCATGTTGAAAGGGGCAAGCCCAGAAGACTAGTGGCTACCATTCCCATCTAGTGAGCAGTCTGTAGGCCAGGAATGTCACTCTGGGAGAAGCAGGCCACTGACCCTGCTCCTTTAGCTCTGGCTCAGTGGTGCAGGGGCCTGCCCAGAGGGAGAGTCAGAACAGAAGGCTTCACAGCTCTCCCTAAGGGGACTGACTTTGATCTGAAACAGAGCGTGGAGGATGTTCATGTCTAAGGGCACTGTCAAAAACAACAAGGGTCTTAGCAGTGAGCAATTAAGAGGAGGCCAATGGTCCTAATAGCAACAAACAAAATGTTAAACCAGCTACAGGTTGAGTGTCCCTTATCTGAAATGCTCGGAACCAGAAGCGTTTGGAACCAGAAGTGTTTCGGATTTCAGATTTTCAGATTAAGGATGCTCAACCTGTAGAAGTTAAACAGACAGAACCAGGGACAAAGACAGCTAAGAGCCCTCCTGAAGGTCTCAATACACCTCAGATACTGGCAACACCCTGCCCCTGTGAAAGGTCTAGAATTTAATTAGGTCATATTGTAGAGCAAGCTATATACCCCAGGACACTGTCAAAAACAATACAGCAATCAATCGCACTAGCTGTTAGTAGCAGCTAGCAGTTAGTGAAGGCTAACAGTTGGGTGTGATAGCAATACAGGCAGAATGACCAGAAGCTTAATGGAAAGATCTGGGAAAGAGATAGTCAAAGAGCCTGGCTAATGCCACTACCCCAGGGCATTAGGGGCAGGGGTGCAGTCAGGGTGACTGCATATGACCAAGGCTGTGACCTCTGGGGAGCAATATCAGTGGCTGCACACTGCAGGGGACATAAGCTTCATTGAAACAGCAGGACCAGGGCACTAAAATCAACAAGCAAACAGTAGCAGCAAGGCCCAGGGGATCATTATCCAGTTTCTTCAATGTATTATCTAAAGTTTCCAGTTTTCAAGGAAACTTTCTGAGCCATGAAAAGAAACAGGAAAGTGTGACCCATACGCAGGAAATGAAGCAGGTGACAGAAACTACCACTGAGGAGGCCCAGATGTCTGACTCAGCAGACAAAGATTTCAAAGCAGCTATAAGTAATGTGTTTAAAGAACAAAAGGAAATCATGTCTAAAGAACTAAAGGAGAGTACAGGAATGACGTGTCACCAAATGGAGAATCTCAGTAAAGAGATAGAAATTATAAAAAGAACTGAATAGAGGCTGAGTGCAATGGCTCACACCTGTAGTCCCAGCACTTTGGGAGGCCGAGGGGGGCAGATCACCTGAGGTCAGGAGTTCTGGACCAGCCTGGCCAACATGGTGAAACCCTGTCTCTATTAAAAATACAAAAATTAGCCAGGCATGGTGGTACAACCTGTGATTCCCAGCTACTCGGAGGCTGAGACAGGAGAATCTCTTGAACCCGGGAGGTGGAGGTTGCAGTGAGCTGAGATCGCGCCACTGCGCTCCAGGCTGGGTAACAGAGACTCTGTCTCGAAAAAAAAAAAAAAAAAAGAAGAACTAAATAGAAATTCTGGAGTTGAATGGTACAAAAACTTAAAAGATAAACTAATTAGCTGGCTCAGTGGTAGATTTGAGCTGGCAGCAGATGCAATCAGTGAACTTGAACATAGACAGTTTTAAGAGGTGGGGCCTTAAGGAGATCCTTAGGCCATGAGGTCATCCTGGATGGGATTGGGGGCCTTATAAAAGCGCCAGAGGGAGCTAGCGAGGTCCCTTTTTGCCCTTTCGTCCCTGCTGACGTGAGGACAAATAGCCATTAAGCACACGAAAAGCAACGGAATAGATTTGTGTGTGTGTGTGACAAGGAGCTTTTTGAAGTCAGTCATTTTTCTTGATTTCATCGCCCATTTTTTATTACTTTAGTTCCATATTCCATTAATTTTTATCTGAATTTTCTTTCCTTTAACAAATATATTTGAAAATAATAAAAGAAGGTACTTTTTACACATATATTCCAATCAGAGTCTGTCATTTCTCCCTTATTTTATCAAAACATTCTGGAACCACTTTCAAAATGGCAGTTAAAACAGTATATTATCTTTATTTTCAGACAAAATGATCTTCTGTATAGAAAATCCCAAAGAATCCCCTACAAAACTTAAAGCTAACAAACAAATTAACTGAGGTTTCAGGAAACAAGACCAATATACAAAAAAATCAACTGCATTTCTATAAACTAGTAATAAATGATTTAAAAATGAAATTAAGAAAATAACTCCATTTACAATAGCACCAAAAAGAAAAAAAGAACCTTAGTAATAAATTGAACAAAAGGAATGCAAAACGTGTCCACTAAAAATTACAATACATCATTGAAAGAAGTTCAAGTTCTAAGTAAATGGAAAGACATCTCAATGTTCATTGATCAGTGTTAAAATGGAAATACTTTCACACTGATCTACAGGTTCAACATAATTCCTATCAAAATGCAGACTAGAATTTTGCAAAGTTGAGAAGCTGCTCCTAAAATTCATATGGAAAGTCACAGGATGTAGAATAGCCAAAATAATATTGAAAAAAGAGCAAAGTGGGAAGACACTTCACCATTTCGAAGCTTACTATTAAACTACAGTAATCAAGACAGTGTATCCCTGGCATAAGGACAGACAAATATACCGACGGAATAGAACAAAAGCCTAGAACTAAACCTTTACATTTGATAAGTTAAACTTTGACAATTCAATGGAAAAGGAATAGTCTCTTCAACGAATGGTTCTGAGACAACTGGATATTCACATGCAAAAGAATGACGTTGGACATCTTCCTCACACTTACACAAAAATTAACTCAAAAATGGATCACAGATGTCAATGTAAGAGCTGAAACTCTGAGAATAAAACATAGGAGTAAATCTTCTTGACCTAAGTAATGGTTTCTCAAATACAACACCAAAAGCACAGGTGATAAAAGTAAAAATAGATAAATTAGACTTCATCAAAATTAAACACTTTTGCACCTCAATGATGCCATCACGAAAGTGAAAAGACAACCCACAGAATGGGAGGAAATATTTGCAGACCACTTACACTGGTGAGTGTGATAACAGACTTGTATCCAGAATAAATAAAAAACTCTTAGGATTCAATAATAAAAATATAAATAACTCCATGAAAAAATAAGCAAAGGATCTAAATAGACATTTATACAAAAAATATATACAAATTGCCATTAAGCACATGAAAAGACGGTCATCATAGGTCACTAGGGAAATACAAATCAAAACCCCAATGAGATATATCACTTCACATGCACTAGGATTGGTATAACAAATAAAATAACAAGTTTTGGGGAGGATATGGAGAAATCTGAAGCATCATTGCCAGTTGGAATGTAAAACAGGCTGCTTTGGGAAACTGGCAGTTCCTCAAAATGTCAAACATGGAGTTACCATAAAATCCAATGATTCCATTTCTAGGTGTACATCCAAGAAAAACGACCCATGCACGCAATACTTTGTACACGAATGTTTGTGCGGTATTTCCCATCATTACCGAAAGGTGGAAACAACCCAAATGTCCATCAACTAATAAATGATGAATACCCACACAGTGGATTAGTATTCAGCAACAGGAAGGAATGCAGGGCTGCTGCACACTACAACAGGGATGAGCCCTGTGAACATTATGCCAAGTGAAAGACGCCAGGCGCAAAATGTCCCATGTTGTATGATTCCATTGATATGAAATGTCCAGAATTGGAAAATCGATAAAGACAGCAAGAGGATGAGTGGCTACGAGTGGCTATCTGGAGTTGGGCGAGAGTAGGATGGATTGAGGTGACTACTAAAGGGTTTGGAACTTTTCAGAGTGACAAAAATGTTCCAGCGCTTGTTTGTTGTGATGGCTGTAAAACTCTATGAATACACTGAAAATCACTGAATTGTACACTCTCTTTTACTTATTTATTTATTTTTGAGACGAAGTTTCGCTCTTGTTGTCCCGGCTGGAGCGAAGTGGCGAGATCTCGGCTCACCGCAACCTCTGCTTCCCGGGTTCAAGTGATTCTCCTGCTTCAGCCTCCTGAGTAGTTGGGATTATAGGTGCCCACCACAAGGCCCAGCTAATTTTTTTGTATTTTTAGCAGAGACAGGGTTTCACCATGTTGGCCAGGCTGGTCTCAAACTCCTGACCTCAGGTGATCCTCCTGCCTCAGCCTCCCAAACTGCTGGGATTACAGGCATGAGCCACTGCACCCGGCCTGTACACTTTAAAAAGTGAATTTAAATATAGATCTCACCTTATTAAAGCTGTTAGGGAAAAAAACCAATACCAACCAAACAGGCAGCAGATGGAGTTGGCCAGCACTTGGCCCTGGCATATTGAGGGAAATTCTTTCTTTTTAAAAAATGATCAGTACTTTAAAGAAGTTATGGGTGACGCCATCTGAACATTTAGGATGATGACATTTGGAGGAGGTGCTCTCTGGTTTCCGTCCTTGATGTGGTTTTCAGGGCATTTCAAGTTTTCTCTGTGGGAGCTTGACTTTAAGACACTCTTTGGATGAGCAACGCTCAGTAGCAGTTGCCGTGGACGCCCTGACTGCAGTGGCAGCGTTCGCAGCTCCCTGGCGTCTTTGATGTTGTCAACATTTCATGGCAAATCAGAAAGATGTCTGAACCATTTTCCTATGTGTTCATCAGATTCACTCCTCTTCGTTAATGAGACTGTCAAACGCTCCAAGGCCTGTTAACTTCTTTGATATGTGTCTCTTCCTCCTAATGAGCAACTGCTTTTGGTTTGATATAAAACCTTTCTTTTTTGGTGACAATGAGCTTTTTGAAGTCAGAGTTATTATTTTTTTTATTTCCTTGCTCATTTTCTACTACTTTAGTTTCATATCCCATTAATTTTTATCTGAATTTTCTTTCCTTTCTAATAAATAAATTAGAAAATGATAAAAGGTATATTTGATACATATATCCAAATCACAGTCTGTCATTTCTTCCTTATTTTATGGAAACATTCCCAAGCCACTTTCAAAACGGAAGTGAAAACAGTGCCTTCAGACGTAACCAACATTTCTGCATCTCGCTTTCATTGCGGTTTCTCTTCTGTCTTTGAAATTTTTTAGAGCCCTTCATTTATTGTCATCCATATGTTGTGAGGCTAGGCTAACTTTTATTTATTTATGTTTTATTTATTTATCGTTTTGAGATGGAGTCTCACTCTGTCGTCCAGGCTGGAGTGCAGTGGCATGATCTTGACTCACTGCAAGCTCCACCTCCCGGGTTCAAGTGATTCTCCTGCCTCAGCCTCCCCAGTAGCTAGGACTATAGGCATGCGCCACCATGCCTGGCTAATTTTTGTATTTTTAGTAGAGATGGGGTTTCACCATGTTGGCCAGGCTGGTCTCGAACTCCTGATCTCAAGTAATCCGCCCACCTCGGCCTCCCAAAGTGTCGGGATTACAGGTGTGAGCCATCACACCTGGCCTAAGCCAGCTTTTGAACAAGCAGACCATCTTGTTACACTTGGCCTTTCTAAAGAAATATCCATGTTGGATCTGTGTTTAAAGTACTCCATCTATAAAACAAACCTAAAAATCAAACAAAATACTGCCCATATAGAAGTAGTGACAACCTCCGGTACCGCTGAGGCACCTTTTTCTGCAAAGATCTGAGGGAAATGGCCAGCACACAGCCTGTATTCTGCAATGACCCTAGATGAGTTGGCACAGCGGTGTGGCGAGTATTTCTGGAAGCTACTATTACACCTGGACAGACACAATCATTTAACTCTACTTGTAAGAGACAGAATCATGGCAATAAGCCAAAACAAATGCCCTCAATCCATTTTCTCTGTAGCCAAAGCAGCAAAATGCCCAAGGCCATTCTAATGGCACCCACAGGAGGGGAAGTGTATCAGTGGCACCCACGGGAGGAGAATTGTATCAATGAGAAGCAGGAATGAAAAGAGAAGTGCTGTTAATCAAGTATGGTTAAAATATCTTATTTTTGCAAAATTTACAAAAATGTGACCATGTAAACACATGGCTTGGCCTCTCCCAGGGTCTCGGAAGGGGCTCCTGTGAGCAAGGGACCCCAAAGCGTAAGCATCATGAGCTTCATGGTAAATCGACTTCTGCTTCCCTCCCAAAGCCCCTCCATGGCTCCCCACTCGCAGCAGGACAAGCCCTGTGGCTGGCATCAAAGACTCGGTACGACTGGCCTCTACTTACGCCTCAGGGTCACCTTCCCCCAGCACAGCAGCACTGCAGCGCTGGCGGCTCTGAACAGACCGCACTCCCTTCCCTCCCTGCCCCTGTGCACGCCTCCATCTCCTCAACACACGCCTGGCACAGCAGACCCTGTGCTGTGCCACCCAGATCCCTCTTCAGGACCAAGTCGTTTATTCCTCAAGCTGTGGAGCATGTGGGCTGCTCATGGCTCACAGCTGAGTTCTTCTCCAGGAACAGCCCCCAGGAACAGTCCCCTTTCCTGCAGACAGCCATAGCCAGTGACTGGTCAGGGTTGCGGTTCAAACGTTGCTTCAATTGGGCCAACTCTGAAAGGCTCCAGAGCTGCACGTGGCGCTGGCCGAGCCCTCTGCTGAGGTCGCATCCCTGTGCAGTGCCTCACTCTCCCCACGGTGCTGGCCCTGAAAGTGCGCCCTGGAATTCCTGCCACCAGGTCTCTGTGTCTGAGGTCATTGCTGGGGAGCCGTCCTCCTGTGTCCATGCCTGAGCTGCTCCCCTCCCGTGCTTCCTTCCTGGTCCTCCTCGCTCGGGCAAGCCCCACCTAGCGCCCACCTGTGCCCACATCTCCCCTTCCTTCCTAGCAAAGGCCCCTCATTCTCATGCCTTGCTAAAACCCTCCCAGACCTGCCTTTGTGGCAGTCTGAGCCACGTGGGGACTGCAGAGGCCGCCACTCTGGATTCTCCCTCCCAGACGGAGGGGGGTACTGTGGGCAGGTGGTCAAGGGCTCCTCCCATCAGGCTGGGCCAACAGGAACTGGCTGGGGCCAGGCAGGCCTGGCTCCCGGCCCCTGGGGGGTCCTAGCCATCTCTTTCCTGGCACCATTACCTCATCTCTTGCCCCCAAAGCTCCCCTCACTCGAGCATGGAGGGGAGGGGAACAACCCAGAGAAATGCTGGCTGGCGTTCCCCTCAGCCAGTGGCGCAGGTGGGGTTGCAGGCGAGGAGGGGCCCAGGTAAGGCAGTGCTGTGGCCTGAGTGCGTGTGTCCCCTCAAATTCATATGGTGAAGCCCTAACCCCCAGTGTGGGGGCCTTCGGGAAGCGTTAGGTGATGGCCCTCATGAGTGGGACTGATGTCCTCATGAGAAGAGACCTGAGAGAGATGCCCTCTCTCCCTGCCATGTGAGGAGACCACAGGAAGATGGCAAGCCAGGAAGAGGGTCCTCCCAGAAGCCAACCTTGCTGGCACCCTGACCTTGGGCTTCCCAGCCTCCAGGACTGCGAAGAACAAGGCTCTGTTGTGTAAGCCACCCAGTCTGCGGTATTTCTGTTAGAGCAGCCGAAGCTGAGGAAGATGGAGTGTGAGCTGTCCTGGCACCGTGGAAGGCTGCGGCCGGGGCAGACTCTAAGTCACTGGTGGCCGCAGGAACCAGGAGCCAGGAGGATGGAAGGAGCCACGCAGTGGTCCTCCTGTCCCAACTGGGCAAGACGGTGCCTAACCTGGAAATGGAAGCTGGGCATGACCACTCAGGGTCCTTGCGGGAAAGGGTGGGAGAGAAGATGATTGCTTTCCAGATGTAAAATCACAGCGTGAGAGAACAGTGATGCACAGGACAGGGAAACATACAGACCCACATTCAGGGATTCTGACAGCAGCCCGGGAGGAGCCCGTCTTCCACGTTCCCCCAACATCCCCACACCGAATCCTGATCTAGGTCGGTTCCAGCCTGTGCTCCTCGGGAACCAGGGGAGGCTGAGCAGAGCCCCAGCTCTGCCCCTCAGTCAGCACAACTATCTTTAATACATAAAAGGCAATTTCACTTACTGGGCTAAATGCAGAGGATCCTACCACCAAAATGAGTGAAGGGCTGCGGCCAGGTGGGTGGTCTCTGTGAGGTGGGGACACTTCGGTTGCATCTGCTCACTGTCCTTACCAGACCTCCCTCTGCCCCACTTCTACCTTGCAGGAAAAGCAGGGGGCAATCAGCTGGGGTGCAGGCCAGCCACACACACACATATGGGGGCCCCACCAGCTCCTGCTCCTGCTCCTGCTCCCTGAACCAGCATGCCTGTGCAGGGCCTGCCTCCCATTCCCTCTGCCTCCTCCCTGCCTGGGGTGGGTGCGGCGGGCGGGGAGCCATGCTTAGCTGGCCTTGTTCTCCAACTCAGCTTTTCCGAAGCTCCCCCTGGGGCCACGGCAGATGTTCTGCCCCGCTCCTTCTGCTGAGGGCCTGTGGGAAGGGGAATAGCTGGGTGGTTCTGGCCTCACTGGGCCCCCAGCAACTTACCAACAACTCACTTCGGACTTCTAACCCTTCATTAAGTCTGGGCACATCTTAAAAACACCAATTCCCAGGTCTTCGAACAAAACCTTATACACAAATGTTCACAGCGGCGTGACTCACGACGGCCAAAAGGTGGAAACCAACCAAATGTCCCTCCGTGGAGAAACGGATACACCAAATGTGGCACACCCACACGACGGGAGGTTATTCAGCGATCGAGAGAAATGGAATGTGGATAGATGCCACACAGGATGGCCCTTGGAAACATTCTGCTGAATGAAGTGAGTCAGACACAAAAGGCCACATATATATGATTCCATTTATATGAAATTCCGGAATAGGCAACTCTATAGAGACAGAAAGCAGGTTGGTGCTAGCCAGGGGATGGGGCGAGGAGGGAGGGGAGAGGTGACTGATAAATGGCGCTTCCTTTTTGCAGGGATGAAAAGCTCTGGGACCGGGTAGTGGCGATGGTTGCCCAATATTGCAAATGTACTAAATGCCACCGAATGGTGCACTTCACTTTTATTTTTATTTTTTGAGACAGGGTCTTGCTGTGTGATCCAGACTGGAGAGCAGCGACGCGATCTTGGCTCACCGCAACCTCCGCCTCCTGGGCTCAAACGATTTTCATGCCTCAGCCTCCGGAGTAGCTGGGATTACAGGCACCCACCACCGCGCCCAGCTAATTTTTGTATTTTTAGTAGAGACGGGATTTTGCCATGTTAACCAGACTTGTCTTGAACTTCTGACCTCAGGCGATCCACCTACCTTGGCCTCCCAAAGTGCTGGGATAACAGGCATGAGCCACCGCGCCCGGCCTGAACTGTGTAAAGTGGTTCAGATAGTGAATTTTGTGAGAATTTTTACCATAGTTTAAAAAAGAACACCAAAAACAATTATTGGATCCTACCCCAAACAAAAGTCTTCAAGGATGGGCCTGGGAATTTGTTTCTTTCAGAAGCTCCGCCAGAGACTAAAATTAGGCAGCTGGCCCAGTCCCGAGCCAAAGACTTCCATCAAGGAGCCACAGGTCCATACAGTTTGGGGGCGTCCTAGGCCTGGCTGGGATGTGCACCGGTGTCCACTCCCTACTCCCTGCCCCCACTGCAGGGCCAAGGTGGTCTCAGTGGGGCTGAGCCTTCCTGGGTGGGGATCCAGGCTTAGCTCATCTGCATATGCCAGCCCCCTAGCAAGTAACTGGCTGAGGAGTGGGTGTGTGATTTCATCTGAACAAATGAGAATCAGGTCTGGAGTTCTGGGAGGACAACAGGGAAGAAGTCCTTCTTTCAAGAGTCACCAGAGGGTGGGAAGTGGGCCTGGGGCAGCCATCAAGGGACCTCGAAGGACAGTGTGCCCAACAAGGGACAAACACTGAGGTCCTGGGGATGGAAAGGTTAAGCCTCATGCTGGGCCCGAGGACTCCAATGCTGGCCTCCAGGTGAGGTGACCCACAGTGCCCAGGGGTGACCGAAGGCTGCCAGGACCCCAGAAATTGCTCCTTAAAGGGGGATTCCTGAGTGGGGGGCATGAAGCACCATGAGGAACTCTCAGATGCCAGGTGTGCTCCAGCATCAGAAGCACAGGGTGGAGGCAGCTCCGGCGTACAGCGTGTGAGGGGTAATTAGAAGGGGGAAAGGAGAGGGCAGCAGAGGTCCCCTGAGAGGGCCCCCACCCCCACTTCAGGGCCTGTCCCTGGTGACCCGGGCACCTAAGATTCCTGTCCTCTGCCCTGCTGCCCTCCAAGAGCCCTTGATGCTGCCTCACCTTGCCAGGTGCACACATAGTCCCGTCCAAGGGGGGCCCCTTCTTGGTCTTGCAAAAGTAGGGGTTGTCAGGATGGCTGCACCACAGCTGCTTGCAGGGGTCAAAGGTCCGGAACTGGAAGACAGCACCATAGCTTGCCAGGTCCCTCCCACCTCAGGGACCTCCCAGGGATGCCACCCACCCCCGGGTTCTGGAACCTGAGATGCCCCAGTGGGACTGGCCCATGATGGGCCCGTGAGGCTGGTGGGTGTTGTGATTCTGGGGTGGTGAAGACCTTGCCCATACGGTGTGGAGGCTGCAGCATCCCTGGACGCGGCTGGGCCTCTCTGCCTCCAGTCTTTGGAGGCTGCACACCTCAGGGAGCCTGGCGGGCAGCTGGGCCCTAAGTGCCAGCCTGAGGCTAGGTGGGCACCTGCTGACCCTTTGCCGTGGATTTCCCTCCTAAACCCTGGCGAAGCCCTACCCCCACCCCCACAGGCCTGCCCTCTCTGCAGCCTCGGCCTCCCCTGGACTTCACAGTCCTGTTCCCTGGCCTTTCTGCTTCCTGTCCTGATAGCACTTCCTGCAGGACGTCCCTGAGGGATCAGCTGAAACTCAGACGTGGCCCTGAGCCTCCCCTACTCAAGCCTTTCCAGAGCCCCCATCGCCATGAGAATCGAGTCCACTGTGCTCCTTAGGGAGTCTTGGAAGGAGGTGGCCCTCCTGCGTTGGTACTCGACTCTACCACTTGCTCGCTTTGTGGGCTCAGGCAGGTTACCTAGCCTCTCCGGGTCTCTGTTTCCTCATCTGTAAAATGGGACTACTTTGCTTCTTTCCTTCATGCAGCAGAGGCGAGCATTAAGACGCTCATAGACACTGAAGCTCCCACAGTGTGGCCTCCATGCCGATGGCCGGTTCCTCTGACGGCTCAGCCCTGGCACTTGGCCCTGGAGAGCAGCGAGTGCTCCTGTGCCTGCCGCGCTCTCCTCCAGGCCTCTGCGTCCGTGGCCTCTGCGTCCGTGGCCCTCCCTTCCTGAATGCCCTCTCCTTCCGCTTAGCCTGCAGGCCTCCCTTCTTCCTTGGGAGCCCTCCTGACCTCTGCAGGCTCTCACTGCCCCTGGCTGACACCCTGGTCACAGTCCTGTCCCCCGTGTGCTTCCTGCCTAGGACCACGTCTGGGCCTGCCAGGTGGGCTCAGGGTGCCTAGGGGGTGGGGAGTGGTGGGTGCAGAGGGACAGGCTGCCACTCTGGAGGGCCGCTCTGCCCTCCCCACACTGGGCCGGTCCTCACACTGTCCCGGGAGCTGCCCCTACACCAGCACGCCTCCCCCCAGACCTGGGAGGGTCCCGGCTGCAGGGCTGCACACTCACCGCCGTGCACATCATGTAGCCCAGGCCGAAGTCAAAGCGGCATTGCTCGTTCATGGAGTAGTGCAGTCCCGGGAGCTGGGGCAGCGCCGGCCAGTCGTGGGCGAAGGGGTCATCCAGCAGGCAGTCATAGGAGCTGTGGGGGACACACGGTGCCGCGAGCAGCCTTCAGCGCGGCTGACCATCCACAGCCCTGGAGGCAGCTGAGGCCCCTGCTGGAGCTGCCATGGCAGCCCTACCTGCACATCCCGGCCCCTGGCTGTGCTGCCTCAGTTTCCCTGCTGCATCTCTTGTCCTTGGTGTAAGACACCAGGACCTGGCTTGAGCGGACCCCAGGGTAGCCGCCGTGCCCACTTGCCATTCAAGGACAGACCCCTGACAATGGGTTCTCCTCCAGACACCAGGCTTCTCTCACAGGTGTGCCCTCTCTCCTCCCCCGCACACAAGCTTAGAGGACCTGAGGTCGGAGGGCTCTGGCTCTGGTGCATGGGGACTTGCACCCTCCCAGAGCTGACCCCAGGGACTGAGGGGTCGCCCACGGGGCACATGGGCAGTACTCACTGCAGGTAGCGGCTCAGCTCCTGCTGGCTGCAGCGGGACCAGTGGAAGCGGTGGAAGGCGGCCTGCACCAGGGGCGCCATGATGCTGCCCAGCCGCACCTCGTCGCCACAGCGGTTGCCCTGCCCGTCGTGCTCCATGCCCAGCCTGCGAGGGCCGAGGCAGCTGGCTGAATCCCACTGGCACACGGGTCTGCCAGTCCCACCCCACCCCGATGATAGGAGGGTGCCCCATCTTTCCCCAACGGGCCTCCTGACCTTGGCCCACTCTGAGCCGGGTGGCACCGACCATCTACCTGCTGCAATTTGAAAGCCGAGGCACTCTGGGGAGACAGTGTCCAGCGGGCAGTCCCCCAGGTATCCTGTCCCCAGGAGGGGCATGCACACCTGGGGGGGACCGTGGCTTCCCTGCCTCCAGGTTTCTAACCCAGGGCGAGCCACCCTCCAAACCTCCGAGCCTCCTCTATAACATGGGGTAGAGCCCACCCTGCCTGGGGGCTTGGATGTGATAATGGGGCAAGGTCCCCAGCTCTAGCTGGCCCAGAGCGCCTGCTCAGTCTGCAGGCAAGCCCTTCCTCCTTCAATTGGTTCCTTCAGCAAAAGTGGGCCTCGGGCCAGCACTGCCCAGCGCTGGGAAGACAGGAGACCACACCCCAAGTGGCTTTGACACAGGGCGTGTCCCTCTTAAGGCACAGAGGAGAAGTGGGCAGCCAGGGCTGGGGATCCTAGGGTGGCCCCTCTGTGCCCCACCCTTCCCCAGGCCACTTACACGTGGCCAGTCTCATGGGCCACCACAAACGCTGAGGAGAAGCCGTCCTCATGGTTCAGGGTGCAGCTGCGGACCGGATGGCACATGCCGGTGACAGGAGCATAGCCTGGGAGGAGACAAGAGGCGGCTCCAGATGCTGCCATAGCCTGGCCGGGAAGGTGAGGCCTGGCCTAACTCCCAGGCGCTGCTTCTCCTCAAGGCCCCAATGCCCTCTCTACCACAGGCAACTGCCCCCGGCTGGCACAGCTCAGAAGACACCACAGCAGACAGCTCATAGCCTGTGACATCTGGCTGACAGCAGGCCCCCAGCCCGTCACCACACAAGCCCCGTGGCCGTTCTGCCTGTAACAGCCACACTGCAGCTGGGGCCCTCTGCTTAGTCAGATGTCACCTGCTATGGCTTGTCTGACACCTGACTTTCCTGCCTGCCGTTCTCTTTCACGCCACCTGCCTCTGCCCCCTGCCTGCCTCACTGAGTGGCCCCTGAGCAGCACCTGCTTCCACACCTCTCTCTGCTAGAGGCATCCTGCCCCTCGTCTGCCTGGTATCACACCCTCCAAGCCCACCTCCTCTGGGGGGCGTTTCTTGGGTCTCCCCGTGTTTCTCTGGGGTCCTTGAGACCCTAGCTAGACCTGTTTCCATAATGCCGCAGAAGGCTGCAAAGCTGTTCAGCCGATGGGCCACACTACCCTGCAGAATATCCCAGCAGGGGGCTGGCTGGTGCGGACTGGGAGGTCAGAGCCGCCGTAGAAGATGAGGCCAGTGGCCTACGACAGCCCAGGGCCAGGGGGAGGGTGGCAGAAGTTCATGACGCAGAGACCCCACGTCAAACTGAGGAAGATGGATAATGAGACCTATTCACTTCCCCAGCTCCTGTCTCAGCAGAGGGAGGCGGCTTGGAAAGATAGGGAAGTGCCTACAGGGCTATGGGTGCCACACGAGGTCTCTGCTTGTACCCCTGGGAGTCTTCCTAGAGGCCTGCCAAGCATGGAGCCCTGACTTTCAGAACCCCAACCTGCCCTCACTCCTGCCATGCCCCACTGAGAGACCCTGAGGCCACGCGTTCCACAGAGAAGGGAAGGAGGGCCACTGGGACCCCGGGTGAGCTGGCGGTGTACGCGCCTAAAAATAGAAGCATCGTGATCTAACCCTTGTCTTTTCCCGTTGTAATAAACAGGAAAATCTGCATTTTTTGCTCTGCAGATTTTGAGACGAGCGTGGAGTCTGTGTGCCTGAGTGGAACGTTGCCATCTCCTCTTTGCCCTTTGTATGCCAGGCTTGCAGATGCATCTGCCTCCGTGGGAGGCTTTCCATTCATCCTACTCAGCATTACAGGAGCCTGCGAGATCTGAAAGCGCATCTTTATGTTTTTCTTTGTTTTCTTCCCTCTTATTTTACTTTGTGGCTGTTTTCTCTCTCCGGAATCTTATTAGATAGAGTGTGCCTCCTCGATGGAGGGTCTGTCTCCTAACTTTTCTCTCATGTTAATCTTTTTGTCTTTTGCTCCCATTGGGAGATGGCCTTGACTTTTTATTTCAGCTTTCGATTTTTTTTTTTTTTTTTTGAGATGGAGTCTCACTCTGCCGTCCAGGCTGGAGTGCAGTGGTGTGATCTCGGCTCACTGCAACCTCCGCCTCCTGGGTTCAGTCCATTCTACTGCCTCAGCCTCCTGAGTAGCTGGGACTACAGGCACCCGCCACCATGCTCAGCTAATTTTTGTATTTTTACTAGAGACGGGATTTCACCATGTTAGCCAGGATGGTCTCCATCTCCTGACCTCGTGACCTGCCCGCCTCGGCCTCCCACAGTGCTGGGATTACAGGCGTGAGCCACCGCGCCCCGTCTACCTTTCGAATTTTTTACTTCCCCCATCCTATCCATAATTTTATACAAATGGTTTGTTGTTCTCTAATTTTTCATAGAAAACTCTTAGGGTTTATGGATGTATTTTCTCAAACATTCTGGGAATACTACTTTTAAAAACATGCTTTTCTTGTCTCTAAATTATCTCTATTTTCTCTTAGAGCCAGTTTTCAAACTTTTTGTTTTGTTTTACATCTTGGTCCATCTTTTTCATGCTGTAAGGATTTCTTGTGTTTTGGTTTTTTTAAAATATCTGGTAACCCTTGGCTGTCCTTTCATTTTTTCTTTTTTTTTTTTTTTTTTTTGAGACAGAGTCTTGCTCTGTTGCCCAGGCTGGAGTGCAGTGGCACAATCTCGGCTCACTGCAACCTCTGCCTCCGGGGTTCTAGTGATTTTCCTGCCTCAGCCTCCTGAGTAGCTGGGATTACAGGCACCTGCCACTACACTGGCTAATTTTTGTGTTTTTAGTAGAGATGTTGGCCAGGCTGGTCACGAACTCCTGACCTCAAGTGATCCGCCCGCCTTGGCCTCCCAAAGTGCTGGGATTACAGGAGTGAGCCACCACACCCAGCCAATTTCACATTTTTAAATGAGGGATCAGGTCACTTAATATAAAAGCTGTGTCGGTTTCCCCTCCTAGGGGATAGCTCTGCTCCCCATTAGTGCCCTCCCCAAGACAAAACAGCCAACAGCACTCTCATCACATGGTCAGGGCAACACCTGGCTGCGCTGTGTTTGAGGGGAGCTATCCACTCCTCACCCAGACATGGTAGTTTCAGTCTTTTTAACCTAGCTATGCTATTAGGTGCGTCTTGATATTTCATTGTGTTTTTAAATTTTCCTTTTTTTTTTTTCTTGTAAGACAAGGCCTCGCTCTGTCACCCAGGCTGGAGTGCAGTGGTGTGATCATAGCTCACTTCCTGGGCTCAAACAATCCTCCCACCTCAGGTTCCCGAGTGGCTGGGACTACAGGCATCCACCACCATGCCCAGCCTCATTGTTTTAATTGCATTTTTCCAATGTCTAGTGAGGTTGAGTGCCTTTTCATATGTTTATTGCTCATTCATATTTTGTCAAGAGCCTGATAAGAGTCTCCTGCCCATTATCTGACTGGATTGTCTTTATTATCCTTATTATGATTTGTAGGCGTTCTTCACATACTTCAGATATAAATCCTTTTTTATAAATATTTCCCCCAGTGGATTAGCGTGCCTTTAATGCACAAACTTTTGAAATGTGCTACTATTTATCAGTTTTTTCCATTGAGTTCATGGTTTGTTTGGTTTTTTTTGTCTCTTTTTTTTTTGAGACAGAGTCTCGCACTGTCTCCCAGGCTGGAGCAAAGTGGTGCGATCTCGACTCATTGCAAACTCCGCCTCCCGGGTTCACACCATTCTCCTGCCTCAGCCTCCCGGGTAGCTGGGACTACAGGCGCCCGCCACCATGCCCTGCTAATTTTTTTGTATTTTTATTAGAGACGGGGTTTCACCATGTTAGCCAAGATGGTCTCGATCTCCTGACCTCGTGATCTACCTGCCTCCGACTCCCAAAGTGCTGGGATTACAGGTGTGAACCACCGCGCCCGGCCTTTTGTCTCTTTTTAAAGAAAACATCTCTTACTCCAAGAACATGGAGCCATCCACCTACGTTATCTTCTTTCATTATTTTGCGTTTCTTATTTAGACCTAAAATCCATGTGAGATGCTCTCTGTCTATAGAGTGAGTGGAGGTGACAGGCCTCCTTTCTTTCCAAATTGGCCCCACACCATTTGTTAGGCTGTTTTCCTCCTCTTCTCTGAAATGTCACTTTTGTGACACATTAGCGTCCCTATACACATAGGTCCAATTCAGGACACTGGATTCTCTTCTAATGATGTATTTGTCCATCAGTGCACTGCCCCACACCCTCACCCAGCTAAGGTGGCCACGGCCTTCCCTGCCCTGACACTCTTCCCTGGGCTGGGCCAAGGCTCCCGGGGCCCCTTGCATGGCCAGGGGCTCATTTCCAGCTTCACGCCTCTGTGGCCCTGCATGGGTGAGGCTCACCTTGCATGCCGGAAGGCCCAAAGTCCTGCCGTGTGAGGAAGATGGCGTGATCGTGGTATTCATCGTGGCCCGTGTCTGGCTTCTGCTGGAGGTAGGCCCAGCGGCAGACATTCTCCAGGCTCTGAGAGGGGTTCCCGATCTCGATGAGGCTCATGGACTGCAGGGGGATGGAGAGAAATGGAAGAGAGAGGTTGGCGCCTGGTGGCCCAGTGGGGGGCCGAGCAGGCTGTAGTGTTGACAGACCCCATCCACTGGGAATCTGTTCCAGGTGGTACAAAGGCCCTGCCCGGTCACTCTCAGGACCTGCTCCCACTGGGCTCCAGTCTTTGACAGGGAAGAAAAGTTTCCCCAGTCACACTCACCTGCGTGAGTTTCCACACAAAGTCACCGCAGTTTTCAGGTGAGATGCAGAAGCCAAGCTCTACGTCATCTAAGGCCTCGCATAGTCCCACCGTCTACCCCATTTCCAGAAGTCCCTGTGTTTGTTCTATGAGGCACCTGTTCCGTGCAAGGCCTCCACAGAAGGCAAATGTCATGTGGACCTCACCCCAAAGAGCTCACAGTTTTGGGAGGGTCCGTGGCAGGGGAGGCGGAAATTCCAGTGTGGTGTGCAAGGCCAGAGGAAGCAGATCACCTTATACGTTCCCCCCGTGTGAAGGTACTTGCAGAAACCAACACAATGGAGGAAAAGAAACAGCAACTGACATATTTGGTGGGTGCAAAAGTAATCGCAGTATTGCCATGAAAAGTAATGGCAAAGACTTTGGCATCAACCTAATAGAAAAACAGCCATATCAAGAACAAGGGCATACACAGATGATTCCCACAGGAACTATGCATGGGAAGCCCCCGGGAACCATCCCATTCCATTTTGTATCATGACGCACACCTGACAGCTAGGGTGGCCTCGGGACCGCTCGTCTTGCACACTCTCTCTGCACCATGACATCAGCAGGCACTCCCATTTAGACTTCAGGACTAAGAAGCCTGTCTTGGACAGGAAACTGAGACTCAGAGAAGTTAAGAAGCTTGCCCAGGTCATGAAACTAGGAAGTAGGAGAATTGAGATCGGATCCCAAGAAGGCTGAAACCAAAATCTAGATTCAACTCACTGCCCTAAACTTCCTCCTTAAATAAGACATACACAATATCATTTCAAAAGCAAGGCTTCTGTGAGCGGCACCCTTCCTTTTTTCCTCCACAATCCTCACAGCAGGCATTTTGGTTTCTGTTCTCACCATAGACTCCAAACACCGAAGTAGTTCCCTCCAAGAGAACCGAGAGCCCCTCTGAGTCCTGGGCATGTTCTTTTCCCCTTTAAGGATTTATCTGGCCATAAAATAGAGATGTGCATTCCTTGGAAGCTACGTATGCAGGTGTTTTTTCTCTTGCATAAATGTATCCACAAAGTAGAGCCACGTATTTCTCTTTGTGTCTATAAATAACAAAAAGTTGGCCGTGCGCGGTGGCTCACACCTGTAATCCCAGCACTTTGGGAGGCTGAGGCAGGTGGATCACCTGAGGTCAGGAGTTTGAGACCAGCCTGGCCAACATGGTGAAACCCTGTCTCTACTAAAAATGCAAAACTTAGTCTGGCTTGGTGGCGTAATCCCAGCAACCTGGGAGGCTGAGGAAGGAGAATCGCTTGAACCCGGGAGGTGGAGGTTGCAGTGAGCTGAGATCACGCCACTGCACTCCAGCCTAGGCGACAGAGTGAGACTCCGTCTCAAAACAAAACAAAACAAACAACAAAGGGTATTGTTAGCAAGCCAGTTAGTTCCAGAAGAAGGGAGCACAATTCAAGGCTAGGTAAGACAAGTCGTTCCCAGGGGTCCCAGTCAATGACTGACAAGATGGCAGACCAATTCCCAAGTCCCAAGCACAGAGTTAATTGTAAAGACTTTATTTCCTGCTCCTGGGAGATAAGATAACTCATTCTAACAAGGTTTCCATGAGTCCCGATGAAATAAGTCATAAATCAGAGTGTGATGTCCTGTGACTAAGACTTGTGGGACATTGGCATAGAAGTGGACAGACCAGAGGAAGCTGGAGGAGGGCAAGGGGAGGTGCACTTCCTGTTCCCATCATGACCAGGAAGAGCATGTGACTAGCTCTGGCCAATGAGCTGTGAGCAAAAGTGGGGCATGTCTCTTTTCGGTTGGAGCATCTAATTTCCCATTGAGACCCTTCAGAGAGCTCTCCTTTCTGGCACGAGATCTGGCAACATAAAGACAGTGGCTGCTCTGTCACCTAGGACCTGAGTGACGATGAGACCCGAATCCTCCGCCAACCCACATTGAACATACAGCGTGAGCAGGAAATCTTGGTCGTTTTAAGCCACTGGGATGCAAAGTGTGTTTGTTTCTGTAGCATAACCTCACCTACTATAATTGATACAGGAGGAAGGGAGTGGGTATCTGCATCACATCCAAGCCTGACCCCTGCAGCTCATCTCGAGTCCCTGCCAGGTAGTATCCGCCTCTGGGTAGCCTTGAGAGGTCACAGTTCTGAAGGAGGAATCGGGCGAAAGAATGTCCCTTCTCACTGTCTCCAGCTAGGGGGTGAGCTTGGGATGGCACAAGAAGGAAGGGAAACTCGGGGTGGATGTGATTCGGTGCTAGAGCGTGGGCCTTGTGGTTGGTTGTACTCGCTGAACTTAAGATTGGCAGCCCAGATATGGATGAGCCTGGGGGACCTTATGCTAAATGAAATAAGCCAGGCTCAGAAAGACAAATACTGCACGCTCTCACTCATACGTGGAAGCTAAAACAGTTGATGTCACAGAAATAGAGAGTAGTTCCTGGAGAGTGGGGGGCAGCGGGCTGGGGATTGCCAAGGCTGGTTAACATATCCAAAAGTGCGGCAAGATGGGGGAATAAGCGTTAGTGCCCTATAGTGCCGGAAAGCGCCTGGAATCCGTAAGAATGTATTGTGCATTTTCAAATAGCTAGAAGAGTGGACTTTGAATGTTCCCAACACAAAGAAATGATAATGTTTGAGGTGACAGATATGCTAATTACCCTGATGTAATCATTACACATTGCATACACGTGTCTAAATATCACACCCTACCCCAGAAATATGTACAATTATTACATGCCAATTAAAAATAACAGTAAGAGCAAAATCAAAAACCAAACAAGAATGACTTTTTAACATACATTTTTTAAAAATTGCCAGTCCAAATCCAAATCAGAGGGTCAGCACAAAGGTCACTAATAAGCGCTTTTGCTAGGGTGGTGGCAGGGCCCCTGCTGCAGTGTGAGTGTCTCCATCCAGGACACCCAGCACAGCTCGGTAGCCTTGCTGGGCTCCAGGGAAAGGGGCCTTGCTTCCTCCAGGGCACGTCTCCCAGCATCAGTGTCAAGGGAGTCCTGTCCAAGATGAACTCACCTGCCCTCAGGGTCCTAAGCCCCATGTAGTGGGACGGTCCCTTCCGATGCCCTGGTGGGTTGCGGTGACTTCTGCCTGCCCTTGTTTCCCTTTCGTGAAACTTCCCCTCCTTTAATCTGAGTCAGACCCCAGGCTTCAGGGGCAGGCAGGCCTGGCCAATCCCAGCACCACGCCTTCCTGGCCACCATGAAGGATCAGGGTGAACATACAACCAAAGCGGGCCAAGGAGTAGGCAAGGTGTGAGGTGGGGGGCCTGCAGCGGCTGGAGCCCCCCTGCACTACAGGAGACCCCCCACCAAGGATTAAAGGAGGATGAGACCACTGTCGAGCTAAGACTGGGGCTGCAGTCTCATCTGAAGGCTGTACCGGAGGCGGGTCAGCTCCCAGGCTCATTCAGGTGGTCACGGCGGGCCCCAGCTGAGCTGTTGCACACCATACCGTATGGGCCCCTCCTGGGGCCGTCACCCATGTCAGCTTTACCCCACACGGTCGCCCCTGCTCGAGGGACCCAAGAGACAACAAGAGAAGGCACCTCCCCTACAGAAGCCACAGTCTGCTTTTGATAGAATCTCAGTCCCGCCTACCGCAGGGCATGGACATTAAGAGACTGGGTCACTGGCGGCCATCACGAAGGCTGCCTGCCACTGACGGGTGTCATTTATGCCTGAAGAAGTTCCTCTCCTTGTGAAAGCCAATTCTGAGTTGTGCTCTTGTCACTTGCAGCGAAGAGAATCTGAGCCACGTGCTTCCTCCTTTGGGGGACCACAGGGACCCCAGTCAGGACACTCGCTGGCCCATGAAAGATGGCGTCTGATCTGGGGGCAGCTGATATGTTCTGGGGGCAGTTTATATGCTTCTCAGTGGGAGAAGGGCCCTGGCCAAGTCTTTGAGGAGGAGTCAAGAGTCCAGCCAGAAAGACATGCCCCAATATCAGGACCAGAGGCAGGAATGAGGCTAGTGTGTAGGACAGAGCTGCGGGAGGAGCCAGGCTGAGGCAGGCTGGGGGTGTGCAGGGAGGTCCGCTATCCTAGTGTGTGGGCTTGTGGGGAGTACCGGGAGGATGCTAGAAACCCAAGCGCCTACAGGAGCAAGGCAGGTGACAAGTCAATGAGGCAGGCTGGTTGCACGAAAAGTAAGTCCATCTTGTGTTTTCCCAGTTTTGAAGGAGAAAGGGTACAGAGGAATATTTCCCTATTAGAATAGAGTGGGGGTCGGTGATAAGGAGTGGCGAGGACTGTGGCAAACCCAGGTGCCCAGGCACAGCTGAAGGGAGCAACATCCGCCCAGTGCTGGCAGGAACAGAGGCCCAGAGCTGCTGGATCAGATTTCTCAGGTCAATCGTGAAATCTGGATTCTACAGACACCTACCTAATAGTAAACACTGGCTCAAATTGAAATCAGTTATGCAGACAAAACAACGCATCCTCCCCGTCACCACTTTATTCCAGAACCCTGGAATAAGAGCCCTGCAGTGGGCAGCCCCTTCTCCACGTCCTGCAGACTGGATCCACTCTGGCCGATCACCTCTCTCCTCCCAGATGCTGGCTTCTGTGGTTCAGCCTGGGTTCCCAGCCCGTCTTAGCAGCCAAAGTGATCTTGCTGCTGCGGCAAGACAATTTATTGAAATATTGATTTGTGTTTTTGTTCTTGCCTCGCTTTGTTCTCGGCCCAGTCCAAGAAGGCAGCCTGCCACTTTCGTTCTCCAACCCCAAGGAGGTTGTGCTGCAGGGTCCAGAGCTAAAGGGGTCTATGACCCCCTTCTGGCTTTGGGGTTCTGAGGAGACTCCCTGAGGAGGGGGCAGAGGGGAGGGCTGGGGTGCATGGGCACAGGGAGGGGAAGCTGCACTGGGGCCAGGGGAGCCCTGGGAGGCAGGACTTCAGGAGACATGAGAGTGTGCTAGACCCTGGGAGCCTGGGTCCCAGCAGGGGGTACCCCAAGAAGTAGAGGAGAGGGTTACCTCAGTGTCCGGGCACCCCAGGACTCAACCTGCCACTGGGAGCTTAACTGACAAGCCACAGAGCTGCTTGTGCTTCCTCTCTCTCTCTGCCAACGTCCCAACATCTCCAAGGTCCCAGCCTATCTCTGACGGGCACAGAGGAGCCCAGGGGCAGAGATCTTGTCCTTGCTGGGTCTGGAGCATTCAAGGGCTATGGGGTACCCATGAGGCCCAGACATTGACCTTGTGCCCAGAGGCCAGGGCAAGGTCTGTGTGCATTCTTAAAACAGCCCTTTGGGTCAGTGAGGAAGGAGTGGGGATAGAAGGGGACAGTGTGGCACTGAGATGCATGCAGGTGTGGCTGGTGCCACGTCAGGAGGGTCAGGACCTGGTGGCAGGAGCTGAGAGGCATCAGGGCTGCAGGGCGGGAGCAATGAGGCAGAGACGGCACCAGTGTCTGGCTTTGGGGATTGGTAGCAAGGCAGAAGAGGCGGCGCGGGAAGGGGACGGCAAGTGCCAGAGGAAGAGCGTGGGGTCCGCAGTGCAGGAAACATGGTCACGGCAATGTCTTTCCTGGCCAGCTTGCTCGTTGGGAAGAGCTGGGCTGTTTTGCTTTGGGAGCTCTCCCACTTCTGGGGGTGCAGCCCTTGTGGGTGATCAGTCCCAAGCCGTAGCTGGGACCCATGTTAGGCCCATGGAGCACAGGTTCGAAAGGACTGAAAACTGGCTGAAGTGGGTTTGCCTGGTGGCAGCACCCAAAACAACCATCCGCAAACTCAGGCTCATGCACCCCAGAGCCCCCTTTCCTCCACCCACTCCTCCCACTCCATGAGAGCTACAGGCAGCCTTGGGTTCTGCATGCCTCTAAGGACTCCTCACAGAAAGAAACTGATGTCCAGGCAGAGACATCGGGGCAGCTGGACAGGTCTGCGGCCCAGGAGGGAAGTCTGGGCTGGCCGTGGACAGGGCAAGGCCCTCGCTACTGGAGGCAGTCGGAACCCAAGGGAAGAGCCAAGCTCAGGTCTCTCCGCTGAGACCTCCAGCCAAGGATACTGTCCTGACATGCAGTGAACTCCCCTGTGGGTCACTTGGGCTCCAGCGGGACCACCTGCTGGGATGCGACCTCCTTTGCTCCTCTGCCACCTGGCCTGCATGCAGGAGGCCAGATGGGTCCCTGCTGCCTGGGGCACCCCAGCCCCCACCATCCTGTGCCCTTGCTATGTATCAAGCCTGGGAACTGTGCTTCCCCTGAGCGAGAAGAAGACACATTTCTCATATATGGATCTCCTCCAGAAGTGAGGGAGGCTGCACTGCTTGTTTCCACTGAGGAGTCTTTCACCAGCTCGCCCTGGTCATCTACGTCCCTCCCAGTCCTGAATGCACCTGACTTCCAGCTGCCTGCTCGGCTCTGCACGGCTCCTCTAGGAAAGTCTGTCTGTGTGACTCCACCTGTTCCTAGCTGTGCTGAGGGGGGGACCAGGAGTGAGCCGTAGCACCCTGGGCTCTGCAAAGGGGGTGGCTGCAGGACCAGCCAGGGACTTTACAGGGCAGCCAGTCCCTCCCAGGGGCAGCCGCGGGCACCCAGCCTCCAGAGCAGGGGGCGGTAGATGGTGCTGTATGACCGGGGATGGACATTTCGAGGCCCTGGGGCTGCATGGTAGCTGCAGGGTCCACCTCCTGAGTGAGGCAGGGCCTCTGAGGGCAGACTCTTCACAGCGGCAGCAGCTCCCAGAACTCCCAGGTCCAGCCTAGGGCCCCAGAAGAGCCAGGCGGGAGAAGCCTGCAGTAGGGCTGTGGATGAAGTCCAGGGGCCCATCCAGCCCAGGATGCAGGAGGAGTCCTGAGTGGGCTGACCCTAGCTCAGAGCACGGGAACAGATGAGCTTCCAAGAGGCTGATCGGATCCTCTACAGGGGCCCCAGGACAGTCGTCACCCCTCATGGAGGGCTCTGCCACCCCTGTTTGGAGGTGACATCGACCACTGCAGACATGGGCTCCCAACTGGGCTCCACTGCCCGAGTGCTCTGGGGCCCTGGACCAGGCTGGCTCTTCCAGAGTGCAGGGTCCTCCTTGGCCATCATGAGTGCCCACCTATGTCCACATGGAGACCCTCCTTGCTATGCTGGTTCACAGAGCTGCCCAGATGCAGGAGGCAGACACTCGTCCAGGCCCCTGGGGCCCTCCCACAGCAGCACCGGGAGCCTGGTCCCAAGAAGGATGGTGTTTCCTCCGGGTTCAGCCTGTTTGGCTCCCCTGGCCCGGGCTGGAAAGGGTCTGAGGACATGCCTGAAAGACCCAGGGATCCCACCATGAGGTGGAGAGGGCAGATCTGAGGGCCTTAGGGAGGCAAGAGCTTGATGGCCCTCACCTTGGGTCAGAAGGTCACTTTGCTGAATGCTCCCCAGGGCTGTCAGGAGGCTTGGCCAGGGCAAGGGTGAGGAAACACTGCGGGCCCCTGAACCTCAGGCCCAGCCTGCAGGGGTCTGGGTAACCCCACGGGCCTCAGGGAACAGCCAGGAGCTTAGGGGGCCCGTGGGCCTTGGGTGGACGAGTAGGCTGCGTCCAGCTCCAAGTCCCAGCCCCATCCTGGCCGCGGGACCCTGGCTCTGAGCTGCCCGCCGGGTCCCTCCTCCTGCGTGCGATCGGTCACCTGCCAGATGGGGCACCTACTGGGGATGTGCCTGTTGCTGTCGCTGGCCTCTGAGTCACTAAAGCCTAAGCTCCTTGAGGGCCGGGTGGTTGCTGGGCCCGAGTCTGTGCCCCAGCCCTGGCCCACGCCTGCCCTCAGTAGCCCCACTCCTCCCTTCACGGAGCAATCCCGGCTTCTGCTCTCCATGCCAGGATGAGGCAGCGAACGCGGCCAGAGGACCCCGGCTGCTGGGCGCTCAGTGATGAAGGAATGAACACGAGCACCCTCAGGAGCCAGGCTGGGCAGGGAGGGAGGCGCCGGCTGCGGGGACGTTCTCGGGAGGCCTGGGGAAGTGAGCCCAAAGGGCCGCCCCGGCAGATGCTGACCCCAGCAGGAAGTCACCGTCCGCAAGGAGCGCCCCGCTAGGCTCAGGCTTGGCACACGACACCTCGCTTCCACTTCATTTTCCTACCTTCCGGATGACGAACTGCGTCTCAGACAACTGAAAGGACTCGCCTGAGTCCCACAGCCGGAAAGAGGTCGGGGTGCTGCCCCCCGCGCGGGGCGGGCAGAGGAAGGGCCGGGCCCGAGCGGCCACCAGGTGGCGCTGCTGCCGCGAGAACAGCGGCCCGGGCCGGGGACGCACCCGGCGCCCAGACTCCGCGGCCGCACCCGGGCTCCCGGGGCCCCAGCGGCCCCAAGACAGCCTCTGGGCCTCACCCTAAATACATCAATTATGACCTGAGCAAAAAGTTCTGTTCCAATCGTTGCTCTCCGACATTTCCATTGTTTGCTCTGGAAGGAGCTGAATTATCTATGCTCTTCCCTCCTTCAGTCAAGGAGACGTGGGAGGAAACCGGGATGGGGATCAGCAGCCTGGAGGCCGCCTCCGCTGGAACCGCGCCCGCCCCGCCAGGAGGCTCTGCCTGCTGGGCAAGGCGCACTCAGCCAGCCCCGCAGGCCGCCACGCGACCGAGGCTCACCAAGTCCACTGCAGGTGGCAGGTGAGGTCACCTGGGCAGCTCTAGGCCCGGCCGAAATATCTCATCTGCTCTGTTCTTGGGCAAGTTACCTTACTTGTCCCCACCTGCAAAATGGGCACAACTGCAGCTCCGAGCTTGGAGCTGGGGGGCTTCCGCCCATGACAGTTCAGGCAGGGTGCAGTCAGCGCCCACAAATGTCCCTTGTCCTTGTCTCTGCCGTGCTGTTGATACTGATGGAGTATAACACCAGTCCCTGGGGACTGGCCTACCCGCTGGGGCTGGCTCATGCCCCCAAGGGGATGCGGCTTCAGCAAAGCTTCTCAACCGTCCCCATCCCAGAGGGGCCCTCCTGCCTCAGACCAGCCTCCTAAACAGGTGCAGGATAGGACAGCAGGGAGGTTGGGTTCTGGTGAGCAGACCACATTTCTCAACCTCAGCACTCCAGATATTTGGGGCCAGATAATTCCTGTTGGGTGAGGCGGGCACCCTGTTCATGGCAGGATGTTGAGCACACCCCTGGGCACTCCTTGCCAGAACCCAGTGGAACCCTCCCCCTAGTCGTGACAACCAAAAGTCTCTCCAGACACTGCCAAATGTCCCCCGGGTGGGGGGAGGGGTGGCAAAGTCACTCTTGGTTGGGAGCAACTGACCCTCAGGGGACCAGGACAAGGAGCCTGAAGCTGGTGCTCCTGACCAGCCGGGATCACAGAGTCCAGCCCCTCCTCCCAGAGCAGAGTGGCTCCACCAGCGTGTGGCCCCGGGCAGGCCGCTCGCCCCCTGGAGCCAGGGTCCTCACTGTCAAATGGGGATGATCACAGCGCCTACTCCACAGGGTTGCTGTGGGGGTGAGGGCATAAAGTCACATAAAGGGCTTCAGACGGTGCCTGTCCCAGAAGAAGCTCTACAAACAGTCACTTGCACGAACGCCTTTATGATTGTCGTCATTCCTGTTGTGTGCTGGGGTTTCACAGACCTCCTCTTATGGGGGAAACTAAGGCCCCATGATGTTAAATTGCTCACCAAAGGTCCCACGAGTATGGACAAAGCCAGAATGAATGGCAGGGACAAGGTCCCACCATCCCTGCTCTGTGAGCACATGTTCTACCGTGCCCCCCAGCTGAGTGCAAAGTGGGCTCCCCCAAGGCTGGAGGTCTCTTGTTCCAGGCAGGGCTTACAGATCAAATCTCATCACGACAGAGAACCACGAGAGCTGGGGCAGGAGGCGTGCACCTCATTTCTCTGCCAGAACTCCCATATCGTTCCAGCATTTTGTTTCCAGCCATCTTCCCCAAAGCCTGGGAAGCTATTCCCAGAGAGAGCCAAGCTGCCAGAACAGGATTCTCAACTTGAGCCTTCCCAGGCATGAGCCAGTGCAGGCCTGTGGGGAGGCAGAAGAGGGGCCTCCTGCTAGAATCTGAATGTTGTGTCCCCCACATTTGAAAGGTTGAAAGCTGAGAACCAATGTTATGGTATTAGGAAGTGTGGTCTTTGAGAGGTCATTAGGTCATGAGGGTGGAGTCTCCATAAATGAGATTAGCACCCTTACAAAAGAAGCCTGAGGGAGCCTGTTCACCCTTCCATCATGCGAGGGCACAGCTAGAAGGTGCCCTCTAGGAGGAATGGGTCCTTACGACACATCAGTTCTGCTGGCGTCCTGCTCTTGGACTTCCCAGCCCCCAGAACAGTGAGTAACACAATTCCATTGGTTATAAATTACTCAGTCTAAGGTATTTCTGTTATTGCAGCCCAAACAGACTAAGGCACCTCCCAAGGGCAGTGTCCAGCCTTAGTGCCTCCTAGTTCTCTGGACCCAGGTAGGTCTGGGTGAGGAGGTGGATGGAGGATGATGTGGGTGGGCCATCATGCCTTGCACCCCTATCAGGTTGGGGGTTGGGACCCAGATGCTCAGGAGGACAGGGGGCTGTCCCTGGGGTGAGGCATGGGGTGTGTTTCCCACCTCATCCCCTGTCCCAGATCCCCAGGGCCCTTGATATATCCTCCCCAGACCTTCACTTCCTGGCCTTCCTGCACCATGGCTGGGCCACTCTAAATCCTCTACCCTATAGGTGGGTGGGTGGGCACACCAAGCCCCCACCCCCAGCACCTCTCTTCTCGTGCTTTCCACTAAGAGACTCACATGCAGAATTTCTCAGACCTTTCACCTCCAATGCTGAAAAATTCCAGCAAGCATTCCACACTTTGTCTTGACCTGGTTTTTTATAACAAGACACTTTATGTCCTTCTCTGATGCTCCCCAAGTCTCTGATTTCCATTTGCTTTGATTTTCATCATCCTAGGAAATATTTAAAATGAGAACAGTTGAGTAGCTTTGGTACCTTCTCAAAAAATCAATTGAAAAGCCAGTTGCTATGCAACCTCAAGTGTTGCCGATGCTCTGCTCCCTGGCTGGTGGTATATTGTATAAAATAAGATCATCTCTTTTCTTCTGCTTTTTTTTAAGAAATGGAGAAAAATGTTGTTTTAGGAAAAACTTGAGATAACTCAGAGGCTTCTCATAAGCTAGAAGACAAACATGTCACTCAAACAAGTGCTACCAATTTTATCCCCACTGGAGCCTGGTGAGGCCTGGGGGACAGGCAATGGGGGAGCGGCAGGTGGGGAGCTGGTCTATTTCTGTCACAATTTGGGATGAATAACAGGAACCGAGTATCTGGGCCACTTTCTGCCCAAGTCTGGGTCATGGTCTCACATCCCCCAGAGTCTGTCCCCACCGTGGGGGGGACAGCTCAGCCCCCTCCTGACTGCCATCGCCTTGGTTTTGCCATGCTAAAATTCTTCTAGAGACGGGGGCCTCATTCCTTGACGGGAAGCCTGTGGTTCCTTGAAGAGCAGCTCATCAGAATTCATCCCCACCATGTGCCAAACTTTGTCCCCAGAGCCCCATCGAGAATCCCTGGCTGTGCTTCTCTGTGAGCAAAAGGGGTCTGTTCCCTTGGACACAGGAGCTAGGCCTTTTGCCCCCAGATCTTGGCTGGGAAGTCCCCATCCTGGCTGCTCCATCCATGGTCCCCTATTGCCTGCCACCCTGCTGTATTCCTTGCCGGTGCTCACCACTCTGTCGCTGTCTTGTCTGCTGCTACTGCCTGGACACAGGGCTCCTCTCCCCTCCTCGTTCATGCACCTCCCTGGGATTAAACAGCAGCTGCTCGGGAAGCCAGAGGCTCTGGGCTGGCCGGATGCTTTGGGGGCACAAGGATACATCTCCTCCCACGTTCATCAGACACCTCAGAGACCTGAAAACAGGGCCTCCCCCAGTGCTATGCAAAGTGAAGTCTGTGCCTGGTGGACACAAACTGTTCCAGTCCACAGTGAGATAAGTACAGAAACTAGAAACTTTTATAGCAATTGGACGGGTTGAGTTTATGTCCACAGAATTTAATAATAAAAATCCAGACCTAGAGTTTTTGGATACCTCGGTTTTTGTCACATTTGCTTTTCCCAGTAATTCATTTATAACGTATGGTACGGAAGTATTGGTCTGTGATGGGTTTGAAATAGGAAAAAGAAAACAGCCAGGTCTTTGGCATTGAGGTGCACTGTGTACTGCTGCTCCCAGGATGGCCTCTCCCCTGGCCACCTGGGGATGGCAGATGGCTCCTCCGGTCCCACAGACGCTGCTCCCAAGCCCTGTGGCCCACAGCACATTCGCTAAGTCAGCCAGGGCCCATGACCAGAACCCATTTTCCTAGCCGCTGTGCCCTCTACCCCAAGCCTTCAGCCCAGCCCCTAGCAGTGCCACCTCCTCTGCTCTACTATTTCCTGCACTTTTGCAGTAGGTCCAACCTAAAGCAACGAGGACTCATAGCCTCGGCTCACTTCCCCTCTCACAGCCCAGAACCCCCCAGAGAAGGGCACAGCAGCGGGCAGGCCCGGCTCTTCTGGCAGTCTACACTCAGCTGATCAACTCAGGAGATCCCCGGGATGGAGCGGACCCCATGGGCACTGGCGTCCCCTACCCCCATCACTGCCTCCTGTGCTTGATCTGGGAGGCTTCTAGGAGGAAGGCGGGGTAGGGCCAGGCAGAAAAAGGTGGGCAGAGTATGGGGTGAGCTTTGCTGAGCCCCACTCTGGGCAGGCATGAGTTAGGAGCAGAAAAAAAGGCCCAGAATGCTGGAATGTTCCAGAACATTCCAGGAGGCCAATCATCCCTGAATTCCCGGGGTCTGACAGAGGGACCGGCTGTGTGTTGTCCTCCAAGCTAGGCTGAGGGGCCTGGGAACAGGCACTGGGGTGTCCTGGGTCCCACACCCCTCACAACCCAGCACTGCCTCTCCCCTGCCTCCTCAGCTGCGGGTCCACTGAGCCCTCGGGGCCGGGGGTAAGCTGGTTCCATCTGGAGTTAGCTCTGGAAGCGTGCGTCCAGCTTCCGGTTCTGTCTTCCAATCCCTCACCACCATCAGTTCTCAAGCCCCTTCCCAGCAGGAGGCGGAAGCAAGGCCAGCCTCAGTTCACCTATGTCCTCTCTGTTCTCTTTGTACCTGGGTCGCAGAAGTTGCCCGGTGCCCACCACAGGCATGAGCTGCCCTGGTTTGCTGGCTATGGATCTCAGCACCCCCAGGGCCTGCACATGTCCCCATGTTGTCCCTGGGAAGAGCAGGCTGCACCTGACAACCGGTCCCCTGCCCACTGCCCCATTCCCAACTCTGCCAAAAGTGGAAGTGGGGCCCCAGCATGGCCCCAGTGAAGCAGAGCTTCTGCAGGTGCATGAGGGGTGGGGGTCCCAGCAAAGCAGAACTTCTGCAGGCAAGGCGCATGAGGGGCAGGGGCCAAGGAGGCCCTGGCCAGGAGGGTGGTGCCTGCTAACCCAGGGGCGTGGGCTTCTCATGCAGGGGAGACCACGTACCTATGGCAGCCTGCGTCCTCACTCCAAGATTTCCCATTTCCTTCAGGTGGACCCGCTGCAGGTGGACCCCCTGCCCCAGCCACAGGAAGCGTGAGCTAGCGCCCATAGGGTGGAACACAGAAACCTCATTACTCCTCCCCAGCCCACTGCAGAGATGACGTGCCAAGGGAAAGCATGAATTCTCTTTGATGTCTTCATTGAAATCAGAAATAAAGGACTGAGCGTGACAGAGCCCTGTGGCATGCCACCGGAGACCTTTCTCCAGAGTGCTGAATTCAGTCAAACGGCATCATTTGGATCCTACCATTTTTAAATGATTTTTTAAAAAATCATTTAAAAAATTTAAATTTCACAAATTTAAAATGCAGTGTTTTGTTTATAAAAGAAACATGCTGGTCCAGGCTCAGCTGCTCACACCTGTAATCCCAGTGCTATGGGAGGCAGAGGCAGGAGAATCATTTGAGCCTGGGAGTTCAAGACCAGCCTGGGCAACAGAGTGAGACCCTGTCTCTACAAAAAAAAAAAGAAAAAAAAATTAGTCGAGTGTGGTGGTGCGTGCCTGTAGTCCAAGCTACTTGGGAGGCCGAGATGAGAGGATCCCTTGAGCCCAAGAGATGGAGGCTGCAGTGAGTTATGATCACACCACTCCACTCTAGTCTGGGCAACAGAGCTAGACCCCATCTCTTAATAATAATAATAATAATAATAATAATAATAATAAAAACCATGCTCATCATATTGAATTTAAAAAATTCAGTAAAGTACAAAGAAGAAAATGAAAATTAATTAGCCTACTGCCCACAGAGAAATCCTGTTCACATTTGATGTGTTCCTTCCAGTCTTTTTGGTAAATATATTTGTACACCAAATTGAGATCATACGGAAAACTGAGATCCTGCTTTTCAAACAACAAACAGCTTTAGACTGTAACCATTTCCCAATGCCATTAAACATGTTTCGAAAATGCAATTTTGTGGCAGCCTAATACTCTACCACATAGGTTTATCATTACTTAACTAGACCACTATTATTGGACAATATAGGTTGTTTGCTGTTGTTCACATGAGAGATAATGCCATGACCCTTGTCTTGTTCCTAAAACTTGGCCCACAGCTGGGATCACTGCTTTGGAACAGAGTTGTAGAAATGAATGTCTGGGGTCACAGAAATGAATGTCTGGGGGCAAACATCAAGAACATTTTAAAGGCCAAATGCGGTGGCTCGCGCCCCATAACCCCAGCACTTTGGGAGGCCGAGGCGGATCACCTGAGGTCAGGAGTTCAAGACCAGCCTGGCCAACCTGGTGAAACCCCATCTCTACTAAAAATACAAAAAATTAGCTGGGTGTGGTGGCAGGTGCCTGTAATCCCAGCTACTTGGGAGGCTGAGGCAGGAGAATCACTTGAACCCAGGTGGCAGAGGTTGCAGTGAGCTGAGGTCGCGCCACTGCACTCCAGCCTGGGCAACAGAGCAAGACTCCATCTCAAAAAAAAAAAAAAAAAGAAAGAAAAAAAGAACATTTTTAAGGGCAGTGATAAATATTGCTACATTTCCTTAGAATATCTGTACTCATACTCAAAGTGTGCCTGCTTCATTCACCCAGCCATAAATCCCTCTTCATCTTAACAGGGTTGATGCTTTATAAATGGTGTATTATTTATTTCTTTAACAGTAGAGTTAGATATTTTTCCATATGGGCTTTCTCTTAGCCACTTGGATTTTTTTCTTTGTTTCCTTCCATTGACAATTTTGTTTCCTTATGATTTAGAGGAGGTTTTATATATTAAGATATATTTATCACATTGCAAATGTTTTTCCTGCTTGTCATTTGCCTTTTCATTGTGTTTTTTGACAGAAGTTTGGTATTATACTTATCCAAATATATCCATATTCCCCTTTACAATTCCTTCAATTGGATTTATGCTTAGAAAGCTCTTGACAACCAATATTTTCTTCTTGATTTGTGTGATTTAAATAGTTGAATGTTGTATTGGCTTATATTTGTCACATGATAATTTAATTTCCTATTTATTAAATTTATGTTATATATTTATTTATAACACAATAAGCATTCTGTGTTTATCACGGTAGGTTATTTGTAAGAGGGGTATTTTCAACTATTTTATTCAACTGAACTGTCTATGAAAGTTTATGCACATATGGCACTATTTTAATTATCTTCACTTTACAAGATGTTTGGAGGAAGTCTCTTACTTGCTTGGGTCCCACAGCTGTCTCGGCCATTCTTGACCGTTCATGTTCCTTTGGAGGAAGTCTCTTCCTTGCTTGGGTTCCGCAGCTGTCTCAGCCATTCTTGACCATTCATGTTCCTTTGGAGGAAGTCTCTTCCTTGCTTGGGTTCCGCAGCTGTCTCAGCCATTCTTGACCATTCATGTTCCTTTGGAGGAAGTCTCTTCCTTGCTTGGGCTCCGCAGCTGTCTCAGCCATTCTTGACCGTTCATGTTCCTTTGGAGGAAGTCTCTTCCTTGCTTGGGTTCCGCAGCTGTCTCAGCCATTCTTGACCGTTCATGTTCCTTTGGAGGAAGTCTCTTCCTTGCTTGGGTTCCGCAGCTGTCTCAGCCATTCTTGACTGTTCATGTTCCTTTGGAGGAAGTCTCTTCCTTGCTTGGGTTCCGCAGCTGTCTCAGCCATTCTTGACCGTCCATGTTGCTTTGGAGGAAGTCTCTTCCTTGCTTGGGTTCCGCAGCTGTCTCAGCCATGCTTGACCGTTCATGTTCCTTTGGAGGATGTCTCTTCCTTGCTTGGGTTCCGCAGCTGTCTCAGCCATTCTTGACCGTTCGTGTTCCTAGATGGTGCTTAGAATCACTTCATAACATTTCCAACTATGAATCTGGGAAAGGCCAACCTCTCGATTATACCCAGCTTCCCATGAGGACAGCATTTGTGTCTTCATTTGTGATCACTTTCTTCCTATCATTAATCAGGTACAATTTCCTTCCAATGGGTCCATTGTCTTGTCAGGACTATTCCAGGTATTCTACATTTTTGGTTACTACCATAATGGAAATTTTCTCTCCCTGTTTTCCCCACTACCAAGGCTGTTGTTTTTGGTTCACACAGAAGCTACTGATTTTTTAAACAATGGTCTGATATTTGGCCACATCACCAGACTCCTCTCCTAACTCTACAAGTTGTACCGTGGATTCTTTTAGGTTTTCCCGACACATGATTAACAGCAAACAATGAGAATTTGTCTCTGCTCTTTTCCAATACTAGTTTCATGTCACATACAAGTATCTAGGATTTTCAGAACCACAGTAACTAGTTTATGGGTCTTTTTTGTTTGTTTGTTTCCAAGACTATCTCCAGGGCAGTGCTCCCCAGAGCAGGTTCAGCAGGCTGCGGATCTGCTGAGCAAGAAGCTTCCGTGGAGAAAGTTTTCAGAGACCACCTGTACTGCTCGGACTCTCGGAGGTACACCATGCACAGCTCCACAGGAAAGTCTCCGGGAAATTTCACCCCCAGGAATGCCCATTTTCCTTTGTTTGACCAGCATTTTCCAGACTTCTTTGACCTTGGGACCCCTCTATAGTCCTCTGTAACATCTACTCATATCCTAAGAATTCGCTGTGCAGAACACTTTTAGGGAAATGTGCTTCTTTTTCCGCCTTTAAATACAATCTTGGTTGTCCTGTTGCCCTCTGTTACTAGTTTTCTGGGGATCTGGAAAAGGAGGAGTGCCCTGTGAGGGGCTACGGGGCCGTCACGCCCTTGCCCTGCCAGAGGCTTCAACACTGGAGCCCTGAGGCCTCTCTCCCAGGCTCCCCCTAGGCAGCAAGCTCCTCATGCCTGCAGTTGCTTCTGCTACCCCCAGCTCCAGACCCCGCAGGGCTCCAGACCCACATCCACATCTTCTTGGCCTCCTCCGCTGGGATGGCACCAGGTACCTCTAACTGCACATCTCAGCTGACCTCTTCAGCTTCCCTCCTGTGCTCCCCAATCTCAGGGGTTGATACCATCATCTACCCAGCTGAGAGTCTCTCCGCCTTCACCCACCTAGTGCCACATCCTCTCGAAGTGGCCTCCTCTGTCCTCCTGTCTGTATCCCTGGACCCAGGCCTGGTCCCAGTCCAGCTGCCAGCATCCCCCATTTGATGGCAGTGACTGTCTCCTAAGCCACTGCTCCCACCTGCCCCTTCTGCACACAGGAGCCAGTGATCTTCTTAGAAATGCACATGGGATCGTGTCACTGCTTAAAGCTGCCCTCATGGGCAAGCCAAACCCCTTGGCGGGAGACGCAGGTCTGCTCTGCTCCTTGCGATCGGCTCCTTCCGACGTCTTTGGCATTGGGTCTGCTGTTCCTGTCCCTGTGCTCGTCCCTCTGGGTTCAGCTGCCCTCCCTCCCCTCCCAGCCTATGAACTCAGAGCATCTCTATGCTGGTGACTTCACTGGACCATCTTCAGGTGTGGGTGGAACGGTCACTTCCTCCCGTTGCTTTTCCTGACCTTGTAAGGAAAGACTGCCTGACCCGCGTCTCCTCCATCCAGCCCTGAGCCCTGGTACAATTGTTTCCTTGTCTAGATCTGCCTTCTGGAAGCGGTCCCCTGAGGACAGAGACTATGCCAGTGAATATTCCCAGCACAGCACTTCCCACACAGAAGCCCTTCAAACAGTATTTGTTAGAGGATGAGTTTTGTCATTTGGAAACTGATGTGATGAACTGTATGAATAGATTTCCTGATATTAAACAATCTCCACATTCCTAGGATAAGCCCTAGATGATCACGGTAGAAGTTTCTCTTTATACATTATTCAATTAAACTCTTAATGCCTTGGGATTTTTACTTCTATTTTTAGAAGTGAGACAGGTCTGTACTTTGTCCTGACGGGCTACCTTTGGCATCTTTGGGTATAAGGGTCCCATTGACTACGAAAGACACATTGGGTAGATTTCAGAATACATGAGTTTACAGGGTATTGTATTAGTCTTGCCTGATAAATGCTTGCAAATGAGTATGAATGCACTGGCAAAACTTTGGAAAAGGTGAAGAACTTGAGTTCCCTCCATGGTTATGGGACTTATGGCATATTCTCCATTTTTTGGAGTCAGCTTTGAAATATTCACATCCCAGGAAATCCTCAATTTCCCCAGGATCTCCGTGTCCCTGGCATAGAGATCCTCAAATTCTCACCTTCAGGGTTTGACTCTCTTCTGCAAATGTTCTGACTGTGATCACATACTCCTTCTACCTACCTGAGGCAGTTAAGGAAAAAAAAAGAAAAAGAAAAAGAAAAGGCTTAGGGTCGGGATAATTTAGCATAGAGCCTGCTAAGGAGTAATTAATAAAGGAGGCTTTATTCCATCAAGTACTCAAGACTGGGAAAGAGCAGACACTTTTCAGGCCAAATAAGATCCAAAGCTTTGCCAGCACTGGTAAGCAATTAACCCTAGTCAATTACAAAATTCTTCTTTTTAAACAATGTAGGAGCAACCTGGGGGAAAATGCAAGCCGCCACCTGGCACCCAGACCAATCAATGGGATAATCTTTTCTCCCCTTTCTAGCCCCAGGACCAGGAGTTTCCCATTTTTGGAAACTTCCAAAAGAGGATATAACTCTGTCCATCTCTCATGCCAAAGGCTTGAGAATTCCTAAAACACCAGAGGATCCTGGCCAGGAAGGGACAGGCTGGAAAGACCCGGCTTGGGGAAGGCCGGAACAGGGAACTCCACTGGAGGCAGGCAGCCAGCCACATGGGATAGTCCAAAGATCCCCCCCGCACCTCCCCGCCTGTGAATGGAGAGCTGGAACCGGATTGCTGGGCTGGGGCCCACCCCCAGGCTCTGCATCTGTGTGGTCCAAAGCCCCCTGCCACAAACCTGGGATAGAGGGCTCAGCGAGCCTCTCTCTGCCCTCCTAGCCAGCATTCACTGGCAGAGGATGCCCTGCACATCCCTCCTCCACTGATCATCCCTGGACCTCCGAAGTGGCCGGCTGCAGAGAGCCTCCCAACAGCTTCCTAGTGGGCAGATGGCCCTGCATGCTTTCCTTTCTGCCAGGAGAAGTATCTTTTTGTAGTCACATTACATATACTCTTTCTGATCTTTTAGTTTGTGCCTTCTCTCTTTTTTTCTAGATTAAATAGGTCAGAGGGTTGCTTTTTCCAAAGCTCTCTTCTTCATTGATTCTATGTGTTTCTTCCATTTTCTAATTTATTGATTTCTGCTTTTTCTGAACTATTTCCTTATTTTTGCTTTCCTTAAGTTTTTGGTTTTGTTGCTGTTGAAATTCATTCAAATGTACTGAGTTGAAGGCAGGGCTAATGTGTGTCGAACATATCACCCAAGGAAGAAGCTTTTGGAAAACATCTGTGAATTTGCCTCTGAATACAGCTTTAACCACATTCCAAAAGATTTGACAGTAGTGCTCTTGTTTTTATTAGTGTTCCAAATAGTCTGTACTGCAGTCCTAATATTCTCTTTCCTTGCTCTGTTACCCAGGCTGGAGCGCAGTGGTGTGATCTCAGCTCACTGCAACCTCTGCCTCCCGGGTTCAAGCAATTCGCCCACCTCAGCCTCCCAAATAGTTGGGACTACAGGCACATGCCACCACACCCGGCTAATTTTTGTATTTTTTTGGTAGAGACAGGGTTTCACCACGTTAGCTAGGCTGGTCTCAAACTCCTGACCTCAAGTGATCTACCCACCTTGGCCTCCCAAAGTGCTAGGATTACAGGTGTGAGCGACCATGCCTGGCCCCTAGTAGGTTTTTTTTTTTTTTAATGTTTTCAAATGAATTGGATTTTTTTAGGTTTATAAATTCTGCTGCCCCCACCCCTACTTTTAGGCATTTCATCAGCGAAGATGGACAAAATCGTTTTAGCTGTATAAAATTCACAATATTTTCTTTATGACCCAAAACACTTCTGTAATTTTTAAGTGTTCTATGATTCCTCGAAAAGAAGGTTCATCTTTCTTTTTTTCTGTAGGGCAAGGGAAACAGTGATATAACTACTAATTTAGCTTTACTCATTGTGTCATTCAAAAATTCTATGCCTTATTAGCATCTAATCTGTGAAAGGCTTTTAAAAGTGTATTAGAGACTCTCATAGTTAGGTTTTTGCCAATTTCCCCTTTGTTCCAAGGATTTGTTTTGGGATGTTTTGTGTTCTCTTGGGGTACACGAAGGCCTGCAACTGGCATCCGCCCTGTGGGTGCCTTCGGTCACTGTGGAATGAGGTGCTTGGTGGGTGTAGGGAAGTGGCCCCAAATCTACTTAGTATTCCTGGGATCCCTTCTGCCACCGGAGTCCTTCGTCATCATTTTTACATCGTGTGCCTTATAAGTTGTATGCAGTTTGATTTTATTTTTTGAGACTGAGATTCTCTTTGAACAGAGTTCAACTTTTATATAATTATCTGATGTATTTGATCCTATTATGATTTGATTTTCTATGCACAGCCAGACCACAGGCTCGAATTCTGCTGTCTGGGTAAGAAGCCTGACTCCTCGGGTGCTGGATGGCCCTGGCTGCTTACCTGGGCATGTCACTAAGTCACATTAAGCCTCGGTGTTCTTATCTGTGAAATGGGCAGAGTCACAGTGTGCACCCCTCCATCTGCCCTGTAGATTAAGGGCATTCATCCATACAAAGTGCTTCCCACACGGCTGGTACAGGCACTTTGCAGTCTACACGGGCCGTACCGTGGGGCTCCTCTCTTCCTCTGTCTGCACAGCATCCCGTGTTGCCATCCCAGGTCACTGTCCCTGGCGGCTACACACCCATGCACACCGCCAGGAAAGGACGTCCCAGGTTTGGCTGCAAGAGGAAGTGGGACGGGCAAGAGAGCCCAGCTGGGACAGCAGCCGAGGCCAGAGGAGAGGAGGCCACAGATTTAATACGGGGGCAGAAGTCCAAGGGAGGGTCGTGTTAACCACGTGTTTCTGATGCTTTGACATCCGAGCCTTGCTGACTCTGGAGGGACTGCCCCGCTAAGTGGTAACCAATCTTTAGAGACAGGAAACAACTCATCCATGAGCACATTTTTCAGATACAAACCAACCAATCCAGCGCCCATGTCCCCAGCCACCTCCTTTATCAGACTTCACACTCTGAGCCACTATCCCCCTGCCCTCATTACCCAGAAAACTAACTCAGGACCGCTCCACTCCCCAGAGCCCACTGGAATTATTCAAACTGGCCAACCTTAAGCCAGCTCACCCTGTCCCCATCGGTCCTTCCTGCAGAAACAACATGGACTCAGGCTGCTGTTTACCCAATTCCCTCTGCCTCCTGACCACCCCTGGTGCCTCCCTGTGTGGCCCCCGTGGCCTGGTATGTCTCTTCCTCTTGGGATCTGGGAGTAACAGACTCTTTTCAGTGAACAATAGTAATGGCCACATTTTAAAACAAGGGGTGAAAGGGAGCAGGGATCTTGTTTCTTATAGGAACCTCAGGGGAGCCAGGGAGAGGCAGGGTGGTTCTGGCAAACGCACACACTCTCCAAGGAGGCCCATGCCTCACTCCCAGGCCCCTCACTCCGAGGGGGTGGAGGCAGGCCCGGCTGGCCACAGTGCACTCACCTTTCCATAGCTCAGGAGGATGATCCGCACCAGGACCACGTTGATGTGGGCACCCAAGGACTCGTCATGGTAGATTTCATTGACCTGAAAGAAACAGGGAGGCATCAGCGGGAACCACAGGCCCTAGGACTGGCTCTGGCTCTGCCAATGGGATGACCCCCACCTGCTCCTTCTTCTTCCCATGCTTTCCACCCAGGCGTCACCATCAACTAGGAGCCACCTTGTGACCCCTCCCTCATTGCCCCCTGCCCTCTGCCTCTCCAGGCTGCCACCACCACCTGCTGGGATCACTGTAGCCCCTTCCTGAGCAACCCCACCCACCAGCCCAGGGTTTCCTCACCTGGGGCCTGAACATGGAACGTGGGCAGGGAAAGCAGCCCTACGCTTGCTGTAGCCTCCAGCTGAAACACAACCTTCCCTTCAACAGTGAACGTGGGTGATGGACCCCCGCGGCACAGGCAGGGCTGGGACCGGCCCTGGCAGAAGTCACTCCAAGCTATAGCTGGTGGGTGTGGGGATTACCTACCTGCATCGCTACTTGGAAATGGGGGCGGTTCTAGGCCCACCACCAGGTATAATGTTTTAACGTGTTAATAAAAAGCTCATATTACTGCATCCCCAATGTGCTCTCCCTGTTCTGTTTTGATGGCTGGAGCTCCTGCAGTCGCCGTCTCTGTATTTATCACAATCATATTCTTACACGTGTTTCATTCTTCACATTTAAAACCATTATTCTGAGCAGGTGCCAATGGGCTTCAGCAGATATCAAAGGGACCCGTGGCACAAAAACAGGGGGGTGAACTCCCCTTCTACAGAACACAGCCAGCAAGACCCTCCAGAAACATAGGTCAGGTTATCCCGGGCTCGAGGCTGTCAGGGGCTTCCTTCGCACTGAGCCCCCACCCTCCAGCTTCCCACCGCACACACCCAGGGCCCTCCCTAGCGCAGCCCCCTTCCTGTCACCTCCTTTGTTGGTTAACCAAACCCTACTCCTCCTCGAGGCCAGCTCAGCAGTCACTTCCCCCTGGAAGGCCCCCCGCAGGCCTGAGCCGCCCCTCATCAAGCACAAGGTGTGTTATTTCTGGAGCCCTCTGTGTGCCCCTGTGGGCTGGGCAGCCACCTGCATCCTCCCTGCTTGCATGCCCAGAGCCAGGCTAAGCAGCACCTGGCAGGCACTCAGGGATACCCGCTGAAAGGCTGAAGCCATTGGCACCATCAAGAAGTGGAGAAACAGGGACTGGCTGTGTGCAGACCGAGCCCAGGGGCTGCTGACAGCTCCGGACATGGCCAAGACATACTTCCCGGAGCCTGCTGCCACGTCAGGCCAGCACACACTCCCTGCACTCCAATCTGTAGAGCCTGCATCTGAGCAACAGTGATTGCTACCTCAAAACAGTGGGAAGGCACCTCAGGAAACCCGAGGGTTCACAAGGAGAATGACATCATGATGGATGGGTGGACAGGCATACAGGGCGTGCAAGACAAGGATCCCGAGGCCCGCTGGCATCGGTGCTGGGAACAAAGATGGCACCGATCGTGGGGCAGAGTTCATGACATGTGGACCCTGCTGAGGGTACCATCCAGCCCAAACGCAGCTCCTCTTGGCAACTGCTGCCCAGCAAATCTACATCTGATTGTAAATGGGCTCCCCACAACTCCCACCTCTCTTTCCTATAGGCAAGGGACAACTCATCAGACCCACGGGAGCGTGGCTGGTCACCGTGGCTCCGGGCTGTAGGCGTCTGGGGAGGGTGGGTCAGCAACCCCTGTAGGCGCTGAGGGTTATCCTCTAGACCCCCAGTGACCCATCTCGCCCCTGTGGCTGACAAGATGGAGCTCCGAGGAGGGCACCCAGGTCCCCAGGAAGCCTTGCCATTTGGTCATCGCCCTCCGTTTCCTCTGTAAAATGAGGATTGCAGTCCCCCCATCACAAAGCTGTTGTGGGGATGAAACCGTCATGCAGGTGCAATGGAATGGTGCTTGTGCAAACAATGAAACGGTTTTTCATTGCTGGTAAACCATAGTGCCCTGCAGCTCCCTGTGAGGTCCTGGGGGTAGGGTATGCACCCCTAAACCACAGAAGTCCTTGCCCAGCTTTGAGGGTCAGACTAGATTGTTTAGTCCACGCTGGCACAGTAGCCTTAAAAGCCAGTTTTTCTTAAGAGAGAAGGGGTTTCTGTAATTGTCCACAGTATTGCTTTCTCTATCACGACAAAGCTTGGCCAGCTTGGCTCATGGAGTCTGACCGAGGGAAGGTCCCACTGCAGCTGAAGGGAGCAGAATAGGAGAGAGGAGAAAGGCCAGGGATGAGGGGCCAGGCTTCTCCTCATCCTCAACCCCAACCTCACAGGTCATACAGAACAGTCCTGACATCTGAGAAGGAAGGAAATGCAAAAGAGCTTGATCCTGGCTGCTGCCTGGGACCTGAGAGGGGACAGGTTCCTAGCAGTAGGAGTGGCTTCCAGGGCCCAACTGGTGGCCCAGCCTGCTCAGGCCTGAGAGGGTGGCCCAGCTCCCAGCTGTGTGTAGCAGATGCCAGGGTCCCCTGCACCCCAGAGACACATGGGCAAGATAGTTGGGGACTGGCTTGCAGGTTTACCTGGCTCTAGGGGGCACCACCAGGCTTCAGGGCAAGCCCAGGGGGGCACTGGCCTACAGGAGAGGAGGGCAGGCCTGCTTGCAAGGCTACTGCAGAGGGGACTCATCCCTACTGCCCCCCACCAGGCCTCTGCCTGCAAATGGGGCTTTTGGGAGGTAATTAGGGGTAGATGAGTTCATGGGGGTGGGACCCTCATGATAGGGTTAGTGTCCTATAGGAACAGACACCAGAGAGCCTGCATCCTCTCTCTCTGCCGTGGGAGGACCCAGCAAGAAGGCGGCTGTCTGCAAACCAGGAAGAGAATCCTCACTGGGGAATGACCCAGCTGGCAACATGATCTTGAAATTCCCAGTCTTCAGAACTGTGGGAAATGAATTCCTGTGATTTAAACCCCTGGGTCTATGGCATTTTGTTATACCAGCCCAAGCGGAATGAGACAAAGGCTTTATGGGGAAGAGACTGAGCCACCTCCCACAGGCCAGACTGCAGCCTTCCTTCTATCCTGGGGCTGAGTGCCCGAGATGAGGGCAGCACCAGATATAGGAACGAAAGAAAGCCCTGGCCAGGCGCAGTGGCTCACGCCTGCAATCCCAGCACTTTGGGAGGCCAAGGCGGTGGATCACCTGAAGTCAGAAGTTCAAGACCAGCCTGGCCAACACGGTGAAACCCTCTCTCTACTAAAAATACAAAATTAGCCAGGCATGGTGGCGAGCGCTTGTAATCCCAGCTGCTCAGGAGGCTGAGGCAGGAGAATCACTTGAACCCAGGAGGCGGAGGTTGCAGTGAGCCGAGATCGCGTCATTGCACTCCAGCCTGGGAGACAGAGCAAGACTCTGTCTAAAAAAAAAAAAAAAAAAAAAAGAATGAAAGAAAGTTGCATTTTTCCCCACGTTTGAGCCTAAGCGTGTAAATGTTGACCTCACCGTCCACACAGACCCTCAGCACAGCCACGGGCCCCTCACAGGCTCTCAATGGGACTTCTCAAACTAAACTGACCCTGGCCTCTTGTGCAGCCCACCACACCCTGGGACCCAGAATGGCCTGGGCGAGCCTGACCTGGTCTCTCCTTCCCCACTGGGCTGAGGCTGGCACCCAGCAGACCCAGCAGAACCACTGCCTCACCATGAATTGTGGCTCTGAGTAGATCAGAGCCAGCCCTCCTGCCAGGAGGCGGAGAGGGACACTCAGATGCTACGAGACCAGCTCCAGGATCACCGGCCTCGAGGGAAAGGCAGGGAACCAGAGGATATATTAGTGGGAATCTGCCCACTGGGGCCTGGAAGGACGTGGCATGTCATGAGACCTGAGAAACAGAACAGGGTAGCTCAGCAAAGCAGGGATGGCGCTCCTGGCAGAGGAGGCAGCCCATGCAAACCTCCCAGGGTTGGAAGCAGCGAGGCACCTTCCAAGCACAGAGGGGATGTGGAAGGGATGCCCCAGCAGAGGAGGTGGGAGGGGAGCACTGAGGCCAGACCACGAAGTCAGGAGAAGGATTCCAAATCCTCTCTAAGAGCAGTGGGAGGACATGGAGGAAGGATGATGGCGGGGCATTTAAGAAGCTTACTCCAGGTGCCTTACGGAAAGTAGATGGAAGGGGTCAAGATGTGGGAATGTGGGGTTCAGCTTTGGGGATGAGTGCAGAGAAGGGACGGATGTGAGGGATGATGTGGATTGGAATAGGGGTCATCTGCCCCGCCTGAGCAGGGAGAGGCTGGGGCTCTGGAAGGGCATTCCGGCAGCTCCCACAGGGCGGAGGGAGGAGATGCGGGGCTGGCCCTCTCCTGGCTCCTGGCCAGGCCCTGCCCCTCAGGACGCAAGATCTTCCCACTCTCCTAGCCCTACCCCTGGGGCCGAAGGTGGCAGCTCTCATCTCAAGAAGGAATCTTGTGTCCTTCTGAACATTGAGCAGATCTAATCCTGCTCCCTGATTTGGGACAGGAGGTGACCAACCACTCCAAAAGCCCCGTCGCTGGGCATGGAACTCCCTGGGATAGACCGTCAGCCTCACATTCTGCTTGGAGGTGGGGTCGAGGCAGCTGAGCCCTGGGGTGTCAGGCTGCTAGGCGTGGGCCCCTGGCTGGGGAGCTCCACTGTGGGCTGTCCGCCAGCAGCCAGCTCCCACCTCCTGCGCTGGGTGCCCTGACCCTGGCCTCTGGAAGCCTCAGATGGTTCGGAGATTAACTGGGGCTCCCTGGCTGCTGAGGAGCTAGAGAGGGCATGCCTGCAAATGCTCCCAGCAGGTAGCCAGGGAGAAGGAGGCCAGGCCGCAGCCAAGGCCCCCTCAGCCCTCCCTCCCTGGTAGCCTTCAACTGTGGTGCGCTCTCCCTGATCCTCTCCCCAGGAAACCTCTGTCCCTTCCTCCCTTCCACACCAGCACAGCACATAGTTCCCCAGGCATGCCCACTCTCTGGGAGGCAGGCCTGAGCAAGGCCGTGGTGGGGCTTGCGATGGCCTCCTGGCTCCTCTGGGTGGCTGCTGGGCCTGGGATCCTGCTCCGGAGCCCTCAACTTGGCCCCCTCCCAGGCCAGGTCTCAGCAGCCCCTCCCAGCAGTCAGGAACCCCATGGGGCACTGTGGCCCAGAGACCACTGACCACTGGCCTGGGTGGTTCTCCTGCCCCTGCGTGTGCTATGGCAAAGTCCAACCCACAGTCCGGGGCCGGGCTCCTTCTGCTGTCCAGCCTCTCAGTCCCCGTAGGTTAATATGATACATCAGGAACAGACATGGGGGGCAGGCAGGGTTTGTGGGGCATGTGAGAGGCAGGGGTGCTCCACAGTGTCCTTGTCCTCCGTGGGCCTGAGGAGTGAGCCCCGTCCTGCCCCCTCTACCATCCCAGGGCTCTACCTGCTTTTCAGGAGGCTGCAAAATTGCCAAAATTTCCTGCCCAGCCCTGGCCAGAGGCCTGCAGGGCCCACCTGGGCATGGGAACCACTGGGAGTAATCAGTGTAATTCCCGACAAAACACTGGCGTCCTCAGTAAGGACACAGCGGCAACATTTCTGCAGAGCAGAGAGTCGACTGATGTGGCAAAAAGAGCAACTGAAGACAGAAGGCGACCTCCACATGCCTGCCTCCTGCACATCCCCCTCCTCCCCCGGCCCCACCCACTTTCTCTGCCAGACAGGAGACAGGCGGTAGGGCTCCCCAACGGTCCCCCTCGTGTCCTCCCCACCCCCCCACCCACACACACCATTCTTCACTACGATCACCAAGCGGAATAGATCTCACCTTCCCCTTCCACTGTCTAAAACCCTCAACGGCTCTCCAGTGCCTTCGGAAGCAGGGCCCAGCCCCTCGCCTGGCATTCGGAGCCCTCTCCACGCTGGCCCTGGCTGGCTTCTCCATGCGTCACTTCAGATACCTCCCCACATGGCACCCTTGCTCCTGACAGCCCAGCCAGCCTTCCCCAGAGCCGGCTGCCCTCTCCTGCTGCCTGTGCTTTGGTTCAGGCCTGGAATCCTCACTCTCCCTGTGCAGCCCCTCAATTCTTTAGATATCTCAGGAGCATTTGAAAAAAAAGACTCATCCTAAAAAATATATCTCAAAGGAAAGAGGCAGTGACCTCCTTGCTTAAACCCTTCCTACCCCAAGGCATGAGACCGCAGTTCCTGGCGTGACCTCCAGGCCAGGAGGGTCTGGCCCTGCTGAGTCTTCTCGGGCTGCCCTGGCCCTGCTCCCTGTGCTCCAGCGGCTAGCCCGGCTGCTCCTTGCACAGGCAGCCTGTCTCCACCTCAGGAACTTTGGACTTGCCGTGCAACTGCTCCCAGCAGTGTCTAGCCCATAGTAGGTGCTCAGTAAACATTTGCTGAATGAATGGAGTGAATCACTTTGAAGATATGGAATAACAGGAAATGGGCAAAATGTATGACCCAGCGTAGGCCTGTGACCCCTCTCATGGGGAGGCCCCCAGCTAAGGGCCTCCCCTCCCCTCCCCCCAGCAGCCCTGGGGGCCTCCTCCGCATCCACCCTACCCAAGGCCTGCGTGTGCTGGGGAGAAGCAGCTCTCCTTTCCCAGGTTGCAGGGGGAGGGGAAGCCCAGGGACAATGTCCTTGAGTACTGTCTGAGAAATTGATCCTGGAATCTTTAAACCTTGGGGGGAAATGTTCAAAGCCGCAGCCATCTCTGTGCGGAGAGAGGCCAAGGGCTCTCTTGTTTGGGGAAACACATTGTAATGCGCCTTTTGCTTATGCAAAGATGCAGCCAAGTTTCTGTTCTGGAATAGACAATGAGGAAGGAGCGGCTCTGCATGGCAATGTAAAGTTTGCCTCACTGGTGGCAGAGTTCCACCCAGGGGATGGTGAGCCCTGGGAGGTGGCCTGCGGCTGCTGGGCAGAGGTGACTTTGTCCTCTGCCAAGGTGGGGGAGGGGTGCAGAAAGGGGGGAACCGGTGCAGGCTCCCTACTGGGGAGGCCTACTGGCCTGCCAGCCACAGAGGAGACAGGCAGGGGCCCTGGAACAGCAGCCACCCCAACCTTCAGGAAAGTTCCCATGTCCTTCGCTCAGCTGAGCTTTGGGCCACCAGAGGCAGCCTGTGGCCCACCTGGCAAAACCATGTCCAGGAGCAAGCCAGGCCTGAAAAGTCTGTCAGAGGCCTGGGGGAGGGGGGCCTGCTGCTCTGTGGCTTCTCTGGGACCCCCTGAAATAAGTGAGGAGAAGGCTGTTCTCTCTGTGCCCCTTCGGAGGCCAGGCTTGGACCACCAGGATGGAGGCAGAGAAGAGAGTGCAGCCAGGAGCAGGGGACAGAGGTCTGCTGGCCTCCGTGGAGGAAGAGTTTAGGCATTGCATGGTGCCTAAACGGGGCTGCCAGAGCCTGGGCTTATCATGAGAATCAACGTTCCCATTGCAGATCTTCTTCACCCTCGGCTCCTCAGCAGATGCTTCAGAGGGAATGCTAGAAGAAACGTGACTCTTGCTCAAAATATCAAACTACCATGAAACGGAAATGGCCAGGATCAGAATTACTAGGCTCAGTTCATACATCAAAAAGTGAGGTGGTCAGAGTCCCCTCCTTCAATACCCAGCGCAGGAACACTCTGCCCAAGGCCACCCCCTCACTCCTCAGGCGACGTCTCCTGTGCCTGTCCACACTCTGCTGATACCTCTGCAGATGCCTCAGGGTGGGGACGGGGCTCCTCCACTTCCAGGCCAGCTCATCAATGCACAGAGCCCAGCAGGGTCTCAAGAGATGTGCTGCACCCCTCAGTGTGGCACTCCAGCAGGCACGTTGAGAAGACAGGTCGCATTACAAACCTTCCCGGGTTTGTACTAACGACGGCAAGAGGCTGCCCCTCCCCCTCTCCTGAATTTGGGGGGTTAGCAGAGTGTGGGGGGGATATTCCCACTCTGAGGTCAGATTTCATGGGTGCCAGCATGGGCTCTGCCACAATCCTGCTGCGTGACTTGGGGCCAGTTACTTAACCTGTCTGGGCCTCAGTTTCTTTATCTATAAAATGGAGATAATAATAGTCCCTGTGTCTCAGGGTTGTTTCAGGTTGAAGCAACAATGAAAATTATCACGTGCGTCCATGTGAAGAGATCACCAAACAGGCTTTGTGTGAGCAATAAAGCTTTTTAATCACCTGGGTGCAGGTGGGCTGAGTCCAAAAAGAGAGTCAGCAAAGGGTGGTGGGACTACCATTCGTTGGTATAGGTTTGGGATAGACGGTGGAGTTAGGAGCAATTTTTTTTTTTTTTTGAGACGGAGTCTCTCTCTGTTGCCCAGGTTGGAGTGCAGTGGCATGATCTCAGCTCACTGCCAGCTCCACCTCCCAGGTTCATGCCATTCTCTTGCCTCAGCCTCCCGAGTAGCTGGGGCTACAGGCGCCCGCCAGTGCGCCTGGTTTTTTTTTTTTTTTTTTTTTTTTTTTTAGTAGAGGCAGGGTTTCACAATGTTAGCCAGGATGGTCTTGATCTCCTGACTTCATGATCTGCCCGCCTCGGCCTCCCAAAGTGCTGGGATTACAGGCGTGAGCCACCGCGCCCGGCCAGGAGCAATTTTTTGTGGGCTGGGGACGGATTTTACAAAGTACATTCTCAAGGGCGGAAGAATATTACAAAATATCTTCTTAAGGTAGGGGGGGACAATATTACAAAGTATCTTCTTAAGGATGGGGGTGGGGAAGAATATTACTAAGTATCTTCTTAAGTTGGGGGGAGAGAATATTACAAAGTATCTTCTCAAGGGTGGGGAGGGTGTATCATACAAAGTAGATTCACAAGGGCGGGTCCGGCGGGGGCGGGTGGCAATATCACAAAGTACATTACCCCAAGGGCGGAGAGGGTGTATTGTTCACAAATTCAATTGATTGATCAGCTAGGGTGGGGCAGGAACAGATCACAATGGTGGAATGCCATCAGTTAAGGCAGGAACTATCTATTTTCACTTCTTTTGTGGATCTTCAGTTGTTTCAGGCCATCTGGATGTATATGTGCAGGTCACAGGGGATATGATGGCTTAGCTTGGGCTCAGAGGCCTGACATTCCTGTCTTCTTATATTAATAAGAAAAACAAAATGAAATAGTGGTGAAGTGTTGGGGTGGTGAAAATTTTTGGGGGTGATATGGAGAGATAATGGGTGATGCTTCTCAGGGCTGCTTCGAGCAGGATTAGGGGCAGCATGGAAACCTAGAGTGGGAGAGATTAAGCTGAAGGAAGATTTTGGGGTAACAGGTGATATTATGGGGTTGTTAGAAGGAGCATTTGTCGTATAGAATGATTGGTGATGGCCTGGATGCAGTTTGGTATGAATTGAGAAACTAAACGGAAGACACAGCGTCCGAATAAAAGGAGAAAAACAGGTATTAAAGGACTAAGAATTGGGAGGACCCAGGACATCCAATTAGAGAGTGCCCAAGGGGGTTCAGCATAATTATTTGCTTGGTTGGCGAGTTTTTGGGCTCTATCCTTGAGTTTATGTTGTCATACACCAGGCCAGACTGATTTAGGTAAAAACAACACCTAGGTGATTCAAAAGCTTTATTGCTCACACAAAGCCTGGTGGTGGTCTCTTCACACGGACATGCGTGACAAAAGTGAAATCCCCAGCACCTAGTACAGGCTGAATGAAACTGTCATCAAATTACAGGAGGGTCCAACAGCCCAAGCTGTTTCCCTGGGACCCCATGCACAGAATGGTCCACCTGGGCTTCGCCCTTACACCCACCCTGGCTCTCCTCCTGGCCATCACCATCGGGAGAGGTCTGAGTGAACAGCTTGCACATGCCCCTGTGTTTTCCAGAGCTGGAGGGGCTGCTGTGCCCAGGCACGTCCGCGAGTGTGACCCAGCCCTGGAGCTCTCCCCGCTGGCTGCGTCGCCTTTGGGGAAACAACAGCCATGCCACCACTTAGGGACTGACCTTCCCACCCGCTGACCGGATGCCTCATCAGAAAGGGAAATGCTGCAGAACGGGGAAGGACCAGTGCTGCTGAGGCTGCAGGACGCAGAAGGACACGGCCGAGGCCTCAGGCCAGAGCCCAGTGTCCCCCAGGGGCCTCTCGGCCACTGCGAGCCACTGACAGGGAAAGGCCGAGAAAAGTCAGGGATTCTGATTCTTGCTAGCAGTGGCTGCAGGACGGCCCTGCCTCCCTGGAACTCTGCTGAGCTTGTCGGCTGTCCCTGGCCACAGAGCCCTGGGGGGCTCAGTGAGGAGTTTCCTTTCAAAGAGGGGCCCTAAGTGGCCAGGGCTCGTGCCACCCCCGGCCCTGGCATCCCCCCACACGCCCGTCTCAGAGGCTGTGTGGCCCGGCCCATCCCGTGACTGAGCTCGGTCACCTGGGTCCGTTTGAGCACCACCATGTAATTTGAGAACAATGCATTTTTATTCCCCCACACATCATATTCTGCCGCTGCTCTGTCACCAGTGTGACCTAAGGAAAGAGGGAAGGAAAATGCCGCTATGGGAGGAGAGAGCTGTGGCATCAGGGGACAGGAACGGTGTGGGGGAGGGGGCAGCAAGCAGCTGCCGGGGTGGGGGGCGGGCTGCTGAGCCCACACCAGGCTTGGAGCCGGAGCCCTATCCCTACCGCTGCCCCCGCCTTAGGGTGAGATGCAGATAGTCCCCGGGGTTCTGGGCTCCACTTCCCACTGAGATGAGACCCTCTGCTGAGGGTGGAGGCCAACCCACATGGTGGCCAAGCAGGTGGTTAGAATGGAGAGGGATCTCATGTTAATGAATGGGCCTCAGGCAGCACATGGATGCCCCTCGCTCCAGAAGGGGGTGTGTGGGATGCAGCAGCTCCTGCTGGCGAGGGCCAGGGCGTGGGTAGCTGGCACTGGCTGGCAGAGGCTGTAGAGTGGACACCCATCAAGGCATAGGGCTTGGACTGGGCAGGGGTCCAGCATGCCTAAGTGGCCCAGGCGTCAGACCCGACCACCTCAGAGCAAAGCTGAGGAGGACTCAGGCCAGCCTCCCTACTCCCCAGGCATCCATGCATGATGAGGAAGAAGGGAGAGGCCCTGGCAGAGCAGGTATGAACCCCTCAGAGACTGAGAAGGCATGACAGAGGGCTGCAGGCCATCACCTTGCACTGTGCCCCTCGACCTGGGCAGGGGCCCCCAAGGCACTCAGAGCGCAGGGCAAGAGTAAGGTGAAGGCTGCAAGAAGGGTCCTGCATTACAAGCTCACGGCAAGGGTCGTCTGCTGCCAGCGTATCCCTCCCTGAAAGCGCAGTCATGCAGGGTGCTTTCCAACACCCAGAGCAGATGTTCCAGCGCCTCTTGGGCTTGGCGGGAAACGGCTTTGCCCTTCTGTGCAGCAGGTCACAATCCCCCTGCACCACCAGAGTCTGTTTATGTGGCTTAGCTCCCTTGCCAGACTCTGGCAGATGGAAAGATAGATGAAATCCTGCCCACCGCTACACAGGAAACCCAGAACCAAAGGAAGAGGGGCCGAATTATTGGAAGCACAAGGGTCCGTGATCACTTCTGCTCAGGATCAGAAGGGCCAGCATGGGCAGCCCCCAGGCCAGGCTCCCTGCCAGGCGCGGGTGGGAGGTCTTGCAGGCTGCAGCCAGGTTTCCTTCCTCCTGTCTGGCTGCAGGGAAGTTTCCCTTGCTCTGAAGTTTCCTCACTCTGTGAACATTCCCACGGGGCACCCTATGCTGCCTCGGGTGCTGTCCCATCCTGGTAACTTCCTGGCACCATCGTGATCTCCAGTCGCCTTCGTTTGTTAGCTGTCTGTCCGTCTCCACTAGGCAGGGACTGTTCTGCATTCTTGCTGATGCAACCTGGGTGCTCAGTACTCCCGTGTTTCCCCAGGCTTCAGGACCAAGGCCAAGCTCAGCCGCACGCGCCTTCTCCCACCCCAGCGGGCTCCCAGGGTGGCCGAGGGCTGGCACCTCTTTTGCACAAGGGGCTCCTCTGTGTGGAATGATGCCCTCCCACTTTCCACTTGGGAGACACCAACTCTGTGACCAAAACCAGCTCAAGGATCACCCCACTGTGACTATCTCCACTACCAGGTGGAGACAGCTGACCGTCTCCTTTGGCTGCCAAGGCCCTGTCCTCGCTGTGCCAAGGCAAGCAGGTGGCCCCCATGAGAAAAAAGCTTGTCCAGGACGGGAGCTGGCTGGGGCTCTTCCCAGACATCATGGGCCGAGTGAACAACTGCTCGCCTCGCTGGTCGGCTCTGATCTTCTCCGCCTACGCCGAGTACTTCCCCGCGTGCGATATCTTTCCCTTCCCACACCCTGCGAGTGAGTGTTATCCCCGCTGTGCCAGTGAGGAAGCCGAGGCACAGAGAGATTGAGAGGCTCACATAAGTGGGCATGGGAGTCAGTACAGAGGCTCTGAGGAGCAATTTGGCAAACCTGCTGCAACTAGAAACTGTATCCCGGGACCTGGCCATTCAGACGTCAGCATGGACGATGGAGACACAGCCTCTGTCATAGAAGCGAAGGCATAAGGACACCCAGCCACGAGGAGTTCCACACCCACAGATAGAGTTCATTTTTATGGGAGTCTCTGAGATCACAGTCGCTTTATGGGAATTCATTTAGTCACTTATTCATTCAAAAGAGATTTACTGAGCACCTACTACGTGCCAGGCCTTTTCCAGGTACTCAGTGAAAAATCAGGTGGGCAGACCCTCTCTGGGTCCGATACAAAGTCACCTTTGTGGGAGTCCCTAACCCTGCTGAGACACACCACCAAGGAGACCCCTGGACTGGGGAGGAAGACCCAGGATTGCTTGACTGCAACTCAGCTCCAGGGGCAGCCTGGGAGGGGCCTCAGGGAGTGAGAGCCCACGCCAGGTCAGCCCGACAGCCCGGCGTGGCACATCATCGCCTCTGTTCTTGTGGTTCAGCTGTCACCTCCTTGCTGGAGCCTGCACAAGACAAGCTCCGAGGCTGCCTCAAGCTGTCATCCGGGTGTGTGGATGGCTGGCCCTCCTCGTCCACAGGGACTCTAACTCCCATTCTGACAACCATCAGTTCCCCGCGGGAGGCCAAGGACAGGATGCTGGGAGGCTTCCACATCAGCTATCAGGAGGTCTGCGGAGGAGGGAGGAGGGAGGAGGTGGGGAGATGTCCACTGGTGGGGAGGGTGCTGCACATTTCAGGAGGAAGCAGAGGTGAGATCCACCCACAAGACCCCTGTTCGAGTGTTCCCCACCTGCTCACCATCACTGGTCTGTCGGCCTCCCCAGCCCTGCTGGAACATGTGCTCCCTGCGGTCTGGATCCCGTGCTCACCACGACATCCCCAGCACCTAGGGCTGCTCTATCCGGGTGCACTAAGGGAGTGAGTGGGCAGGCGGGTGGGCCTCAGAACAGGAGGACACAGTAGATCTATGCAGAAGCCAAGGCAAAGCAAGAGGCAGAGCGGATGGCCTGCGGGGAGAGGCGGGTGTGGCCAGGGGACTCCAAATGCTGTGGGGAGGTCAGTGAGGCCTGAGATGAGAACCCGCGGAGCATGCTAGGGGATTTGGGAGCTCTCGATCTTCAGGCCAGACAGTAGGGGAGGACCAGCACAGGGGCCACCTTCCCACAGGTATGTGACTCCATCTGCCGTGCTCTGGCCATGTCTCTCTCAGTCTCAGTGACCTGATGCAGGCAAGGGAACCTCACAGGGCCACTGGGGCAAGGTAGTGAGGTCACAGGTGTGCCTCCTTGCACAGGGCCAGCACGTGCAAAACCAGCAAATGTGAGTTCCCCTCCTCAGGTGGGGAGGGGTGTTTCCAAGGATAGAAAGCATAAGCCCCAAACCTCCTAAGAGAGAGGAGTCTATCTTTGTAGACCACAAATCAACCTCGCTCCCGCTCTCCAAGCCCCACAAGCTCCAGCAGGGCCCAATCTGCGCACTGCGATTCACGATGCGGCCAGGCCTTTGCGCGCGCTGTGCCACCACCAGGAGTCCTCATTAGAGGCAACTGCGGTGGCCCTTGTCCGAGGAGCCTTCCCTGACCAGCCGCCCCAGGCACCCTTCCCTGATGAACCAAGGTGTAATCACGTGTCCTGATCCCGCTCCCCATACTCCTGTGCTCTGAGCTCCCCCAGTGCAGGGATGCGGAGGCCAGGAGTCCAGGGAGTGCCGAACATGACTGAGGACAGCTCCCAATCCCAGCATGCTCCTCCCACACCCGTGCTCTACTGAGCACTTTCCTGGTGTTCAACTCGAGTGGTGCTCCCAACAGCCCCGGGAGTTGGCACTGACCAGCACAGGGCGCAGCAGGACAGGCAGTCGCCTCCTTCCTTCTAGGCTGGAAAGAACACTCAGGCCACCCACACACCAGACTTGTCCTGCAGCCGTGTTCTGCTTCACCTGTGCAGTGTGGCTTCTTAATTTCAATCTGTGGCCCACATTGAAAAATAATTAGATTTCCCAAAAAAAGTAGATTTCCAGCTTCTCATGGAAGAGCGAGCTGGCAGCAGTGGTCTGCTTATTCCTACAGAAACACAAGCGAGTGGAACCACGAGGAGCTCTGCAGGGGGGCGTGGCCTCTCCGGTCGCCCGAGTCCCCACCACTCCCAACAGCCTTCAGCCACCTGGGCCCCTCGGGCCTGGCTACTGTGAGCACGTGAGGGCACTGCCCTCTTCTGAGCCTTGCGTGCAGCCTCGCACACACCACTGGCCCTCATGGCTGTGTCTCCTGGTGGCACACAGGGCCAGGCTGTAAGGCCAGCGGGACAAGCGTGAGGAACAGAAACAGTGCCAGCAACACCCCCAGGGCCACAGCACCACTAGCAGACCCTGAACCCCGCTTGCCTCCCCCCACTTAAGGGACCCGTGTTTCGTGTCCAGTTTCAGAGATGTTCTTCTCTTTCCCAGGAACCAGAGCCAGCGACTCGTGAACTATGACTTGGGGCGACGCCTTCCGCCTGGCTGGTTTGCATCTCTGCGGCCAGTTTACGAGATTTCCACCACGACCAGCTGAAAACACTCCTGTCCGACCACTGCCTTCCCCACCGCCACCATGCGGTCTCAGCACTCGTGAAAGTTGGTGAGAAATTGAGCCCATATGCCTTCGGATTGTTTGCAAACCCTGGCAAGGCTCTGGTAAGTCCAGGCCAATTTCTGGATTAAATTAGAAATGAAAAGAGGAAAAATATCTGAATCCTGGCATAGAGAGAAATCATTCATTCAAAAAAAACGGTCGTAGAACATACTGTACAGAGAATGTTCTCGTGCTGGGAGGGGTCAAAGGTTATAGCCGCGACTGAAGGCGCAGAAGATCCTTGGATTCCACGTTCTCCATAGGCCTAGGAGCGTGTCTGCCCTCAGCAGAAGAGATGCTTTGGGGGCTCAGGCATTCTCCCAGAACATAAGCAGTTAACACAGCTGGGAGAGACTATTCTGCATGCCCGGAAACCTGCTCCTCCTGCTCTGCCGTTCTACAGCGGTTAAGAGCAGTTCATTCTATCCTTTAAAAAGAATCCCCGAAGTAGCCTCACCGGTCCTTTGAGCTGATAAGGCTAGTGTGGGGGTGGGCTGGGGTCTGAGCAGCCCACTGTGCTCAGTACTTCCCTAATACGTACACCCACGTGCACTGATGTAGTGAAAGGCACATGCTCACTTTGGAGGCCTGGGGCCATCACAGCTCAAGGCAGGCACTAAGCAAGTACATTTCTGCACAGCCTGGTAGCAAAAATTCCTTTAGCACCTCATAGTGAATGTTCTCAGCTTTGTGGGCCATATGGTTTCTGTTGCAACTACCCAACCCACTGTTGTAGCACAAAAATGGCCACAGGCAATTCATAAATCAATAGGCGTGGCTGTGTTCCAATAAAACTTTATTTACAAAAACAGGTGAAGGGCCAGGTGGCCCTGGGGCCAGAGTTTGCCAACACAGCTTTAGAATCTCCAGTTTACCTTGACAAATTCACGTGAATTTTGCTTTCATGCAAGTAATACGTCCAAATTTACTTTAATGTAAAACTGATGTTTTAAAATGCTTACCATCCAAAAAAGGGGCCACTTCAGGGGGAGATGCCTTACATCTGTCTGGTGGCCTCTGGCAGGCCTGAGAGTACGTGTTCCTGGTAGCAATAGGTTGAGCGCTGGCCTTGCTGCAGGCTGGGTATCACCCACTGCAATGGTCTGCCTCCTGTCTACAAGGAGTGCGGTGGGACCAGGGGCTCACAAAGACAGTTCAAGGTCTTTGTAGATCCTGATATTTAAGCAACACATTGAGGCCTTAGGCTTCTCGGGAAGAGTAGGATTGAAATTAGCGCTTTAGTGAAATGCTTGAAGCCACAAAGGAAGCTTCAGCCTTGGGCCCAAGCTTTATATTTCTTGAAGTCTTGGCACAGATAGATTTTACTTTTAAAAATGTATCTGTAGCCAGGCGTGGTGGCTCGTGCCTGTGATCCCAGCTACTCAGGAAGCTGAGACAGCAGGATCACTTAAGCCCAGGTGATTGAGTCCACCATGCAGCATAGCATGAACCTGTCTCTAAAACAAATCTTTAAAAAATGAGTCAGGCATGGTGGTGTGTGCCTGTAGTCCCAGCTGCTTGGGAGGCTGAAGTTTGAGGCTGCAGTGAGCTATGATTGCAGCACTACGCTCCAGCCTGGGTGACTGAGTGAGACCCTGTCTCAAAAAAGAAAAAAATGCATATATAAACATATTACTTCCACAACGGCTCTGATCTTCCAAGGCATTCATCCCTGCCTCCCATTTACCTGAGCCTGCAGAAGAGTCCCTGTCTGTACCTGGGGACGAAACTTGAGGTGCCACACACATCTGAGCTGCCTCCTAGCATGGCAGCCTCGCCTGTCAGGCCCAAGCCCACTCTTTAGGGGTGCCCAGGCCCACACACATGGCCACAGCATCTGGTTTGTGAGCAGAGACTAGCCCAGGCGCTGGCAGAGCAAGTTTTTGAAAATGTGAGAAATACCAAAGCCCCAGGGTCAGTATCAGGCATGTTCAGCAATGTCACCTGTGTCCCAGCCTGGCAGCACCCAGTACTTCAGGGAGTATGTTTCCCAAGCAGGAAAGGTCAAACATGACAGTGGTCTCCCAATGCCCTCGGGGGCGGGGGGCGGGCCTGGGCAGAGGAGAGCCCCTTATCCTCCCGGCTGGGCCCAGGGGAGGCAGCAACGCAAGGTGGAGGCTGCAGGCTGAGCCAGAGTAGAAAGCTGGGAGGAGCAGGAGCAGAATGAAGGCAGAGGGAATAGAAGTCACTCTGCCAGTGACGGGGCTGGGGGGCCAGCAAAGCTGGATGGGCCACACATCTGCCCACGGCTCTCACTCCATCCTCCTAGCCTCACAGTGCTTGGAAGGGAGACCCCTCTGCCCTTAGACGGGGGAATGTGGGCATCCCCAAGGGGCCTCAGCATCTCTGACCAGGCTAAGGGCCGCTGAGCCTCAGGAGACCAGACTCATCCCAGGGTTGCCAGCAGCCAGGAGGGCTACAGCTGCGTGTGCTCAAACTCCAGTGTAGGCCGGGAGCAGTGGCTCATGCCTGTGATCCCAGCACTTTGGGAGGCTGAGGCGGGTGGATCACCTGAGGTCAAGAGTTCTAGACCAGCCTGGCCAACATGGTGAAACCCCGTCTCTACTAAAAATATAAAAATTAGCCAGGCATGGCGGCACGTGCCAGTAGTCCCAGGTACTTGGGAGGCTGAGGCAGGAGAATTGCTTGAACCTGAGAGGTGGCGGTTGCAGTGAGCCGAGATCATGCCATTGCACTCCAGCCCGGGCGACAGAGCAAGACTCTATCTCAAGGAAAAAAAAAAAAAAACAAAACTCACTGCAGAGAGCCTCTGTGGACAAGGGCCCGCCCCCTGCCTGCCACAGGCTCAGCACACACCCAGTGCCCTCTTAGCACGGCTGGCTTCGCCTGGGCCTCAGAGGTGTGTGGACATGCCCAAGCAGAGGCTGGGGAAAGGCCACAGAGAACGGGAGTCTGAGGTGGCATCCAGGGGGCACATGCAGGGCAGCAGGTGTTCCCTCAGGCTATGGGGTCTGAGCGCAGGGCTCAGGTTTCTGGGCTCGCCCTAGGGACAGGCTGACTTCATAGATGACCAGGGCCTATCCTCAGAAGGCCCCGACCTTGGGGCTTGACCCTCTGCAGCTCTGTCTTGAAGTTCTTCGTCATCTCACCCTTGCATGTGTGTTTTGTAAGTGAAGGCTCCTGGGGCAATGCAGCATGGTCCCATCTCCCCAGGACAGGCTTTCAGCTGCCCCCAGCAGGGGCAGGATCAGGCATGTATTCCCCACGGCATCTCAGGGCAGGCGTGGTGGTGGCCATCCCGCCCACGGCTGGCAGGAAAGGGGCATGTCTGGTGGATGGCTGGCCAGAGCCCGTGTTTCGGCAGAGGTGAACCTCCCGTGAGTGACACCTGCATAGAGATGGGATTGGCCGTGGCCATACGCTCTGGGCTGGAGCAGTGCACCAGTAGGAAGGGGGCGTGCCTGGCTCTACTTCCCCAGACGCCCTGGCCAGGGCACAGCCAATGTGTTCTTCCAGGGGTGGCAGGAAGCTCTCAGACCCCAGTGGGTGTGCCCTTCCTGCTGGGGGTGCACTCACTCTGCTAGGACCCCGTACCTGAGGAGCCTCCCCTCGGCAGGATTCCACTCTGTGAAATCCTCTCTTCTTCCTCCCAGCCTCCCTGAGTCTGGCTGTGCCTGTCATAAACTTCTGGTCAGCCTGAGGCACCCATCAGGGATCAGCCACAAAATACACATTTGTTTAATTTCAGTGACCCCACATAGAAGCTAAATGCTCTAATATTTGCATTTAAAATAGCCATCGCACAATTTAAAGATGAATAAGAAATTCATGCTAATAATTCAAGGTTCCAATTTTTGTTCACTTAGAACAATATTAAAAAGCAAATAAAAAGAACAGCGAGTTGAGAGACAGAGAGACAGAGACTAAGGAAGAAAGGAAGTGGCTTAATAGTCCCTTTGTATGGCACCTTCCTCTGCTCTTTGAACAAGCGATCCCACATTTTCATTGTGCGTTGGGGCCTGGGAGTTACTACTGGCTCTGCCTTTAGGCCAGTGTTCCCCACTGGTAATATCCTGACGAGTTTTGCAGCAGCCAGATATTGAGGGGAAATAAGAATGCATTGCATGTAATACATTGGCTCCTTTGAATTCTCTATCTCCCCGCCACACCTTTCTTTCCTTTTTTTTTTTTTTTTTTTTTTGAGAGAGAATCTCACTCTGTCGCCCAGACTGGAGTGCAGTGGCGTCACCTCAGCTCACCGCAACCTCCGCCTCCCAGGTTCAAGCCATTCTCCTGCCTCAGCCTCCCGAGTAGCTGGGATTACAGGCACGTGCCACCACACTCGGCTTATTTTTGTATTTTTAGTAGAGATGAGGTTTTGTCATGTTGGCCAGGCTCGTCTCGAACTCTTGACCTCAAGTGATCCGCCCGCCTTGGCCTCCCAAAGTCCTAGGATTACAGGTGTGAGCCACTGCACTAAGCCTATCTTTCCTCTTACTTTGGGAGAAATTCAGGTGGAGGGCTGCTATGGCTAAACCCAAGAACAGTCAGCGGTTGGTGAGGAACTGGAGCTTGGGAAGTACAGCTGCCAAGTAGGGCAGAAACTCAGAAGATTAACTTCTGGGGAGGGCAGGAGGCATCAAACACATCACCCAAGGGAGAAGCTTTTCCCCTGGGAAGGGAAAGACTGCAGGATCTTTCCCTGTGGTCACACACACAAAAATGTAGGACATCAAAAACTATCCCAGGCGGAATAAAACAAAAGGTCAACAACAGGACTGGGGGAAATATTTCCCACACATGTGACAGACAAAAAGTTTATCTACTTAAGTACACAGACTCTTCAGATGAATAAAACACCCCCAAATCCCAGCAGAATCAAGGGCATGAATAGGCCAAGCAAAAAAATAAAATAATCTCTGTTTACAAATACACGTATATTTTTAAATGCAGGCTCATTAACATCAAGGAAATAACAACTTACAACAAAAAAACTTATCTCCGTTGTAATTAAATTACCACTGCTCAAAAGGACTCAGTGGTGTGAGGAGGTGGGGAGACAGTCATTTGCTCAATGAAGCGGGAATAGATGAAACCATAACAGAGAACATTCCAGTGTAGAAAGCTTAAAAAATGGGCATATCTGTTGGCCAGAGACTTCGCTTTCAGCAACTCAGCTTAAGGAAATAAGTAAGCACGAGCGATAGATTCAACTCTATGAACGTGATACAGTTAGTGGCATGTCTGACCTCTAATGGAGAAATAAGTTTTGCTATGTGAATATGTCATATAAATAATAAGTTAGGTAAAAAGTGTGTGACAGTCATATGGTGCGATGTTATGCAATCATTAAAACAACGTAGTAGACAATTAACTGCTGGGAGAAGACATTCACATACCTACAGGAATTTATGCTAATTTTACATAGCAAAAAAAATGTCCCGGCACGGTGGCTCACGCCTGTAATCCCAGCACTTTGGAAGGCCAAGGTGGGTGGTCACCTGAGGTCAGGAGTTCAAGACCAGCCTGGCCAACATGGTGAAACCACTGTCTTTACTAAAAATACAAAAAAAAAAAAAAAAAAAAATTAGACGGCCGTGGTGGTGCATGCCTGTAATCCCAGCTACTCAGGAGGCTGAGGCAGGAGAATCGTTTGAACTCGGGAGGAAGAGGTTGCAGTGAGCCAAGATCACACCACTGTACTCCAGCCTGGGCGACAGAGTGAGACTCTGTCTCACAATAAATAAATAAATAAAATAAATCATCTGTGTTAAATATGGACTATTTCAATAAACCAAAAAACATGCTTTTCTAGATGTAAGGAGGAAGATAAGAAAACTGGACCCAGCAGGGGCTGCTGGAGTGGGCAGGTGGGTGGTTGCCTAAACCAAAGAGCCCCTTTCTGTGCCCAGGTGGCCTCATGAAGTGCTCCATTTCCAAGCCGCTTCCCTTCTGGCAAGTCTGAGATGAAAAGGGCAGCTTCATCTTTCCCATAGAAAAGGGAATATCACGTCTTGTCTTTAACATAGACAGGAAGCAGCCCCTCCAGTGATTTCCACTGCTCCCGGAGCCACAGGCGGCTCCCCTCCACCTCTGGAAGACTGCGGCGGCCGGCCTTGCCGGCCCCGACTTCCCCTACCTGTGCCCCCTGCTTGACAGGCCAGGCTGCCTCCATTCTTCCAGCCGGCCCCATTCCTGCCTCAGGGCCTTGGCGCCGCCTGCCCCCTCCCCCAAACCTGGAACAGGCGATCCCTATCCTACCTCTTCCCACATCCTTCCGTTGTCGTGAGCCTCTGCTCCCGTGATATCTCCAGTGCACCAGCCCCTGAGCTGTAGAAAGTGGCCTGCCTTCCCCTACCCTTCTTCCTTCTCCATCTCCTAACTATTTTATTTCTTTCATTGCATTTGTCATTATTTGAAATGATCCTGTTTGTTTTTCACTTCAGTATCGTCTGTGCCTCCCTTCCCAGAATGCAAGGTAGCAGGGTTACGTCCTGTCATGCTCACAGCTGCACCCCTTGCCTGACATATAATAGACGCCCCATAAACACCGGCCCCCGTATGAACGGCAGCCAGGGGCACCAGACAGAGGAGGATGGCTATGCCGAGAATCCACCCCATCTCAGCAGCTGAACACAATACACCGCACACCGTGTTTCCTTACTCACACCATGGCGCGGGGTGGGTCGGGAGGGCCCGAGCCTATGTTGCAGCTGTACCTACTGGGACACATGGCTTCCAAGGTTTCCGTGGCAGGGGAGACAGAGATGGAGGGGACTCCAAGCTCTTACCAGCCTTGGTCCACAGGTGACCCAGGTCACTTCCTTTCACACAGGCCACTAGGCAAAACTGGCCATGCAGCTCCACACCAGCTACAAGGGAGACTGGGGAGGGGAGCACAGGGGTGATCGATGAGGCTGAACTGCCTGTGCCACCCCTGGACCCCATATCCCAGCCCAGGCTCTGCCACAAAGAGATCCCAAAGGGAGCTCTGCAGGCAGAAGTCACCCCAAATGATGAGGGAAACTGAGGCAGTGCAGGGCTGCCAGGGTGGAGCTGTGCCTGCACTCAGCCTGCCACCACCTCACCTCCTCCTCAGAGCCTGCATTCCCTGGGTCCCCACCATCAGGGCCCCCACCAGCTCCTCCTCCCAGGGCTCGACGGCCTTTCCCAGGGCACAGGCTGTGCCACCATTCTCTGCATCCAGTTCAGTGGGCAGCTCATTGCCCAGGGCTGGCCCCCAGACCCCGGGCTCTGGATGTGCCGTTGCCCAGCCCCACCTGCTCTACAGCTCCAGACAAACACCTCACTGGGAGCCCAGTCCCAGCCGGCTGCTGCCACGTCTGTCCTTCCATGCTTTTGCTTTCGCTCCAGCCACGGGGAGCCCTGTGACCAGCTGGGACTTACAAGAGGAGTGTGACAAGCCACTGGCCAGGCCTTAGAGGGCCACTTGGGGTTGTGGTTCGAGGCCCCCATAGCACCCAAGTTCAGAGACAGGGCACGGTAGGCAGATCCTCTGTGCACAGGCCCAACCCTGCCCTGTTCAGCACAGCAGCTGCCAGCCACACTGCGGCTTCCATCCAGGTGAAAATTAATCCAAACAAAGTACTCTTCGGGGTGGCTACCGTAAAAAAGAAAAAAAAGACAAGAGTTGGTGACAATTTGGAGAGACTAGAATCCCTGTACACTGTTGGTGGGGGGCAAAATGGCACAGCCACTGTGGGAAACAGCGTGGAAACTCCTCAAAAAATTAAAGAAAGAATTACCCTGTGTCCCGCAATTCTACTTATGGGCATATAGTCAAGAGAACGGAAAACAGAGTCTGGAACACCCACGTTCACGGCAGCACTATTCACAGTAGCCCATGAGGGGGCCACCGGAGTGCCCATGGATGGCTGGATAAACAAAATGTGGCCGATCCACCCACACACGGGATACTGGTCCTCCCTGAAAAGGAAGGACATTCTTACACATGCTGCAATGTGGATGGCCCCGAGGATGTCATGCTAAGTGAAATAAGCCAGACACAAAAGGACAATTATTGTTTGATCCACTTATGCGAGGTACCCAGAGTAGTCAAATTCTCAGAAACAGAAAGTGGAGTGGTGGGTGCCAGGAGTCGGGGGGAGGGGAGGAAAGGGCTGAAACTCAATGGGCACAGTTTCAATTTTACAAGATGAAGAGTTCTGTGGACGGTGGTGGCGATGGTGGCCCAGCCACATGAATGTGCTTACGCCACCGAATCGCACGCTTAAAAATGGTGAAGACGGTGACTTATGTTCTGTATATTTCACCGCAATTAAAATTTTTTAAATTAAAATTCTCTTGGAACAAATAAGAAGTTAAATTAAAAATTCAGTTCTTCAAGGACACCAGCCACACTTCAAGTGCTCCAGAGCCCCGGTGGCTACTGCCCCAGAAAGGGCGAGACGAGCATCTCCCCAGCACCGCGGGAAGCTCTGTCGCACAGCAGGGCTCTGGAAGGTCACCCTTTCTCAGAAGCTCCCACTTGCTCAATGCCCCTCCTCCCCAAGACCACCAAAGGGTCCGACATAGCTTAGATCTGTCCTCAGGACTCTCCGGGCATGCAGAGGCTCTCAGTGAGGACGCAGGGCATTCATCGTCAGGGCAATGCCATGCTCCAGGCACGGCCGCGCCTTATCTCCCTCGCCCACGCTGCGCTCTTGCAGTGGGAGCTGGGGCTCAGATCAGAGGCAGAGACCCCCCGCTGACCCTCCGCCGCCGGTCTCCCACGCCCCGGGACTCTCTGCCACGCCCCGCCGCCTCTGCAGGACACCCCCACTGTGCCCATGACAAGCACACTGTCAACACGTTTGCTGAATGAATCAGTGCTCACTTCTGTGCAACAGGGGACAACAGACACGGCCCAAATACTTTCTCAACTTCTGAGACTTGTCTCCTAAAACGGTTTCTCTGTTGTGATAAAACTCATCTCAATTTAAGAATTTTTAAATTTCTCATGCTTTTCTAGAAACGAACCTTCCCATTATTCAAAATAGGGGGTACGGCTGGATCACTAGGGTTTGAATAAAGTTGGACGGCAAAAGTGAGAGAACGTTCTAGACATCCTCCAACCAGCTGTTGTGACAGAGAGACCCTGGGCACCAGGAGAAAGGTTGATCTGCCTCTGCCAGCCTCATGAAGGACTCACCACGGGCCCCACATTTGGTCAGCGCCCTTGGTGGGCTATCAGAAGTGACCCCTCCTGGACTGTCACTAAACAGTGCCACTGTCATGATAACAAAACCACATTTTATGTGGAAACTGAAAACGTGTTCACCCTACTGAGAGACTGAAAAGCACATTCACTGACATTATCTCATGTAATCACATCAACCCCCACGATGAAAACACTGGCCCATTTTACAGATGAGAAAACTAAGGCTCAGAGGACGGGAGCAGCGTTCCCAACGACGCGCCTGGAAAAGGCGAGGCCTGGAGTCGCCATCGGACTGTAATTCCAAGCCCAGTCCTTTCCCCGCTGGGTTGGAAGGCGACATAATGCTAGGGGAAGAACTCATATTGTGAAGGCAGCCAAGATTTTATACCTGCCAGTCTCACAGACCTAGCATGAGGACTTCCCAAGATAATTTAGCATGGCAAGTGCCCAGCATGGGCCCGGCACAGTCACATAGTAGGGGCTCGATAATGTAGCCATTATGGTTTTATTGTTATTATTATTATTATTATTATTATTATTTTTGAGACGGAGTCTCGCTCTGTCACTGAGGCTAGAGTGCAGTGGTGCGATCTCAGCTCACTGCAAGCTCCGCCTCCCAGGTTCACGCCATTCTCCTGCCTCAGCCTCCTGAGTAGCTGGGACTACAGGCGCCCGCCACCACGCCCGGCTAATTTTTTGTATTTTTAGTAGAGACGGGGTTTCACCGTGGTCTCGATCTCCTGACCTCGTGATCCGCCCACCTCGGCCTCCCAAAGTGCTGGGATTACAGGCGTGAGCCACCGCACCCGGCCGTTATTATGATTATTGCATTAAAGGTACGTTTCAAAAATAAGATGAGGGTAAGTGTGACAACGCTCTCCCAAATAAAACGAATTCTGCCGATGCAGCGGACTTCGGCCCCCTGTACGGATAAGGCTGGGCTCCAGAGGGCTAGCTGACTCACCCAAGACCGGTCAAGAGGAAAGTGAGCATGAAGGTGGTGTCTCTGTCCAGTGTTCAGCTCACTCACATCCCCTCCTGCCCCTGAGGTATCTTTTCACCAGGGCCCTGGGGACTCTGACCCATGTGTCAGCTTGGCTCCTGGAGGGGCTCACCCCTGGTCCGAAAAGCAGAGCTGGGCAGCAGATCCTGAGCAGACCTGCACACCCTGCTGCCTGCCTCTAGCCCGGCCCCAGAGGACCTCATTCATCCACAGGTGTGGACACGCAGCACGGGGTTCTAGAACTTCCCACCTGCCCGGCTTCCACACCACCTCCAGCCCTCCCTAAGCCCCGGCTTCCTCCCACAAATACCCCCCTGCCCCTAGGGCCCCACTGGCAGCATCTCACATTCCAGGCCGTGCCCTGGTCCTCCTTCTCACCCCCTTCTTTTCCCTGCAGGACTCAGCCAAGCCAGTCTGCTCCCCTGGGAGCCTGCATTTTGAAGACTGGACGCCCCTCATCCCCACAGTGGCTCTGACCACATGAGGCAGAGAGAGGAAAGGTCTGCACAGCCTCCACCCACACACGGTTCAGCATCCTGGCACCTCCTGCTTAGGTTGTTGGGGGTATGGAATGAGGGGGAGGTGGTTCTTTAATCTCTTAGTGTTAGGCAGACCATGGGCAGGTGCCCAGAAGACGAAGGTGGCACATAGACACCCCTTTCAATAGCCCAGACTCACAGGGAGAAAGGAATTCCCTCCCCAATTCCTCCCACTGCGAGCTTTAAGGAGGGGCCCTGGGTTGGTGTCTGGCCCTCGCTCTAATGCACGTGAATCTCTACTTTAAACAGAAAAGGGGCTTCTGTTTGGAGCGAGAAGAAGGCAGGGCTATCCAGCTGGGGCTGAATAACGTCACTTTATGTCTTACTATTATATTAGCTTTTCAGGTAAAATAAGGTTGCCTTTTTAAATGATTTTAGTTTTAAAAGTGGCAAACATCAAGAAAACATATTTTTCAAATGACGGGACATTGAATGACATTGTCATTCAAACGACTGGAGTTTGCACAAACCCGCCTTAGCCTGTGAAGAGCCTCACCAAGTTACCATCACCCACGATGTGCAGACGAGAGAACTGAGGTCAGGGATGGTCAACTTGTCTCACCTGGGGACCCAGCAAGCCTCCCTGAGACTGTGTCACTCACCTCCGGCTAACAAGGAAATCGGCAGAGCCTCAGGGGACCTGGCCCAGCTGGGCCTCTCTGGCCTGCCCAGCCCCTGGTTGACCCTCCCCGCCCCACCCTGCCCCCTCAGCCACCCCACTCACAATGTTCATGAGTGTCAGCAGGTACTTCTGTACGTGCTCCTTCCCGTGGAACTGCACCACAGAGTCATCCACGCCCAGCAGGACCTCGATGTTGTAGTCATCGTCCGCAGCATGCCTGCGTGCCCTCCGCCTCGAGCTGTTGGCGTGCTCCTCTAGGACGCCCAGGGCGCGGCTGAGGCTGTCCAGGCTGTCCAGGGAGGCCCCTGCAAGGAGAGGACACCGTCTTCAGCGGCAGGGCAAACCCACCCGGACACAAACCTACCAGGCGCCAGCTTGGCCATCCTCTCATTTAAAACTCATAGCACCCTGAACCGAGGGTATTATTCCATTTTACAGAGGAAAGCGAGGTGCAGAGGAAGATGGCAGAGACTTGCCAAGCTGTCTCAGACACAGCAGGGCCCAGACAGGCACCTCTGTGACTTCCAGGACCGCTCGTTCCCCAGCCCCTGGTGGCAACCCCAGCCACAGCAGGGGCCACAGTGGCCTCCACACGATGGATCAGACCTGCTGAGACTGTGAGAGACCCAGCCCAGCATCACCGTCTGCCTTATGGAGCCCAGGGCTGGCATTCAGCCATGGAGAGGTCGGGAACCTCAGCCCGCACTGCCTGACGCTGGAGTGGGCAGAGCCACCCCTTGCCCACACTGCCCGATGCTGGAGTGGGTAGAGCCACCTCTTCTCCCCCGAAGGGCTGCCAGGTGCCAAAGGACTGGTGTCCCAGGTGTCATCGCCAGCTGTTATGACTGGGGAAACCGAGGCCCATCCTGGGCTGTGCATGTTCCCCAGTGTCTCCTTGGGCCCCTCCCAGAACTTTCTGCTAAGTCCTCCACTGAAGCGAGGCCCCACATCTCTGGGCCAGGTCCCGGGCCCCCTCCCCAGGTGAACGGTACCGCCTCTGGCCTGATTGAATTGTGCAGAGACCAAGATGAACCCCTCTGTGGCAGCTCCGCTGCAGTCGGCCCTGGGCAGGCACTGACCTCCTGCCCCCAGGGTGTGCCCCTGGCCACTTGGGGCTGCCATCCTGGGGAGTCTGCCCCGGATATCGTCCCTGCCTTCTGTGCAGTGCTGTCTCTGCTGTGTTCTGTGTCCTGCGGGCCTGGAGACCACCCTGGACCAGGCTTCAGTTCCCAGCCCTCCACTGCCCGTCTGAAGGCCACAGCAAGGCTGGCCAGGCTGACCTGCAGCATCGATGGCAGCCCCAGACCACACTGCCCACCGCCCCCCAAGCCCCAGTGTCCTGGAAGCCCCCTTTCCCTTGCACTGGTCTCTGTGTCTAAGCCAGGTCCCAGCCCCAGGGTCTCCATGGCATTCCCCAGGCAGGTCCTCAGAGACTCCTGGCCCGGGACAGACCCAGGGCTGCAGGTCATCGTGACATCACTGACCCACAGGGCGGTGGCCAGGCCCCGAGGCCCCTGCAGCTGAGGGAGACCAGCGTCCCTGCTGCACCACCTCTCTACAAAGAGTCTTCCAGAACAACACTTTTCACCCCCAACGCCTCTCTCCTGCTGCCTCTTCCAGGCAGGGACAGGCACTCCCTCCCTGTGAGGGTGGCCCAGGACAGGCCCTGGAGGCAGAACAAGGCCCCTGCAGGCGGCACGGCCACTCGGACAGTGAGGCAGCCTGGTACCAGGCCCTCATCCCGGCACACGCTTCCTCACCCAGTGCTGACAGCAGGCCACTCGGTGGACGTGGCCATTTCCGTTTTACAGATGGGGAGACCCATGGCATCCCAGCATGGCCGACTCTCGGCCAGAAGCTCTCTCCTTGCACCCTGCAGCCTGGCTCAGACAAGACAGACTGAACATGAAGTTTCAGGCACAAACCTGCAGCCCGGCTGTGGGCAAGACCAAGACAGACAGTGGAGGTGCGAGGCGGAGGGTGAGGGCTGGGAAAGAGAAGAGGAGTAAGTGGGGCCAGGGCTGAGCAGCTGCTGGGGTTCCAGTACCTTCGGGGGTCCTTGTGCCACCCCCAGCTCCACAGTTCTGTGTCCCCTCGGCGCACACACACATGCACACACACACACATGCACACACATGTACACACACACAAGCACACACATGCACACACATGTACACACACAGGCACACACACATGCATGTACACAGCAAGGACTTTCCAGGGCCACTCCAGGGACAGGGGTGGGGCCGGCAGGCCTGCGGGCAGGGCTGTGGGGAGCCGAGCAGTCCACTTAGCTGCCTGGATGACTCAGGGCCATCCATGCCGTTCCCAGAGGAAGCGCCAGCAACTCAAGCCTGACAGGGGGGTTGAGGAATCGCCACTCTATTTTTGTACATTTATTTCTTTGCATTTCCAACGAACAGAGACAGCTCACCTTCAGAATCACCTTGGGAAGGAGAGTGATGGCAATTTCCATAGGAAAACTCTTCCTCCCTGGGGAACAGGCCGGGCGTTACCCTCTGCCCTTGTCAAACTAGGGGTCACACACGGGCGGTGCCCTCGGCAAAACCAGACCACAGAGGCACTCGTTGAGGTCACGTGGTGCCATCTGGTTGATAGTATTTGAAAACTGGGAGATTTCATGTTTTAAAAATCTAGAACATCCAGCTTCTCTTGAGGAATTAAGAGATGGGGCCACCCCAGGGGTAGCCCGGGTCTGTGAATTGAGGGGCCACACCTGGAGACAAAACACACAGGGCTTGGCTCACCAGGCCACCTGCCTGCCACTGTCAATGTCATTCTGGCACCAGAAGGTATCACAGTATGTCCTCCTGGCCCTAACCCCAGAGTCCCCATGCAGGGACCCCTCCAGACATTCCCCGTAGGAGGGCATGGGTGCCGCATCGGGACAGAGCTGGGCTGGGGCACGTCTTGAGGCTGCTTCTGCCGAGCAGGCAGAGTTTTTAACTAAACTGTGTGTTGCAAGCCCATTAAAAACAGCAAAGGTTTCTAAAGATTTAGAATCTGAATTTCACCTGAAATGGAATTATTATTGTTGCCATCATTATTTTAATCGTGATAATTTTGGGGTGAAATTTGGAAATTATGTTCTAGAGCATCCCTCCACCCAGGACCAGTGCCTAGAGAGACGGCCCAAGGCCCAAAGGCAAAGTGGGTGAGGAGAGGAAGACAGGGGCCTGGGCCACCTGGCAGGTGACAGCCACGCCCTGCGTCTGGCCCCTGGAAGCCTCAGTGGTGCTCAGGCTGGACAGGACAAGGGGAGAAGCCCTAAGAGCAGGGGGATCTGCAATGCCCTCAGACCTGGGGCAACAGGAGCTCTGGCCCAGCCCCCCTCCTGTCCTCCTCTGTCCCAACAAGACCCGGCAGTCAGGCTGAAGCCCCAGCTTGTCAATCACGAGTGCCACCTCAGTTTTCCCCACAATAAGATTGACCCTGACCCTGTCAATCACGAGTGCCACCTCAGTTTTTCCCACATTGGGCTTAACCCAGGCCATGAAGAGACTCTGACCACATGCTGGCCCTTGCAGACCTGTTCCCCAAATAGAGCCTTGCTATAGGGAGCTCTGGCCAGTGGGCCTGGCGTGGTCCTGAGTCGTCTTCCTAGTGATCCCTTTGAAGTCAACCTTGGCCTTGGGCCTGCCCACCTGCACTGGTTGCCTACCTGGTCTAACAGCCCCTGTTCCACTTGGTCCCTCCAAGGCAGAAGAGGGCTATTTGCTGCTCTCCCCTCCTCCCCTGGGAGCTCCCTGTGTAGCCCAGCCCTGCTGAGCTGTGGTGACTGGGAGCTCACACAGCCTCTGCTGTATCCCTCGGCACTCACCCCGCCTGGATGAGTGATCAGCGCACCCATCTCCTGCAGAGGCAGGAGGATGACACTGCCCTTGGCCTTCCTTTCCTCTGTGTGCAGCCTTCCCCACAAGAAGGCACTGGGCCCCCTGGGGGTGCTGATTGACCAAGCCCCAGAAGTCATACCCAGGTGGGCTGCAGCTACCCTGAAGGGAGGTGTCTGTGGCAGGATCCCATCTTTTAAATAGGTAACACAGAGCTTTCGAGTTCCTGGCATTCCCTGTGCTCAGGGCCCCTTTTGGATGGCAGCTGGAGATCTCTTTGCTCACATCGTGGCCAAATAATGACACTGTGGGAAGCACTCCAGAGCCATCCTGTTTTAGAGTCTCTAGAATGGAACAAAAAGACTCTATCGAAGAGTCAATCAATAAACAGGGAGAGGATGGAATGAGGGGAGGCAGCAGTTCTGTCCAGGGAATTCCATCAGGGGAACGGGTGGGTCACAGTAGCCACGGGCTCATCCACAGTGCCACAGTGCACAGGGCACGTGGGCAAGGGCTGCAACTGCCAGCATCCTAGGCACACCCCGAGTCTCCAGGCAGGGGTGTGTGCACAGCCCTTCACAGTGGCAGCTCCATACCCCCAGCAGCCATCCAATCCCCTCGCCAAGGTGGAGGCGTGTCACCATCAGCATATCGTCCTATTTCAGCATCAGGGAAACAAACCAAGGAGCAGGAAAATTACATGACTCGGACAAGCCACACCACCAGAGAGGAGGAGTGGGCACGCGCCCAGGCCTCTGAGTCCAACGTTGTCCACATGCCCGGAGCCCTTCTGTACTTCACCAGCACTGAGGGGTGATTTGCGGGAATGAGAATTGTAGAAACAAGTATGATTAGACTAGAGAAGAGAAAACCTGGGACTGAGTCTGCAACCTCGGGAGCATCGTGGGATGGTGCGGGCTCTGAGGGTGGGTACAGTGGGCAGGTGTGGGATCTGTGGGCAGGTGCAGTGGGCAGGCACGGGCTCTGTGGGCAGGTGTGGGCTCTGAAGGCAGGTGCAGTGAGCAGGCGTGGGCCCTGAAGGCAGGTGCAGTGAGCAGGTGTGGGCCCTGAGGGTGGGTTCAGTGGGCACGTGTGGGCCCTGAGGGCGGGTGCAGTGGGCAGGCATGGGCTCTGTGGGCAGGTGTGGGCTCTGAAGGCAGGTGCAGTGGGCAGGCGTGGGCCCTGAGGGTGGGTTCAGTGGGCACGTGTGGGCCCTGAGGGCGGGTGCAGTGGGCAGGCACGGGCTTTGTGGGCAGGTGTGGGCTCCGAAGGCAGGTGCAGTGAGCAGGCGTGGGTCCTGAGGGCAGGTGCAGTGGGCAGGCGTGGGCCCTGAGGGTGGGTTCAGTGGGCAGGTGTGGGCCCTGAGGGCGGGTGCAGTGGGCAGGTGTGGGCCCTGAGGGCGGGTGCAGTGGGCAGGTGTGGGCCCTGAGGGCGGGTGCAGTGGGCAGGTGTGGGCCCTGAGGGCGGGTGCAGTGGGCAGGTGTGGGCCTGAGGGCGGGTGCAGTGGGCAGGTGTGGGCTGAGGGCAAGTGCAGTGGGCAGGTGTGGGCTCTGAGGTCAGGCAGGGGCTTTGCAGTGCTAAGGGTGGCTGGGTGTTCGCTGTCCCCTGTGCGAAGCTCAGTCCTATGCCTTTTCTGGGCTGGCCTCTTCACCTGCGATGCCCTTTTTGCTGCTGCCGCTGTGCTGGCCAAATTTAGGCCCCCTGAAAGACCCAGAAGGAAGGGAGCCCGCTGCCTCCCATGGGACTCAGAGCTCTTGAAAGACAGGAGCATGTTCTGCCCCCATCTGCCTCCTGCACAGCCACACTGCGTGCCACTAGGGGACGACAGGGACAGGGGCCGGGGCAGGGATGCTTAAAACCTGAGGACCACACTGTTCAGTGACACGGCCGACTGCTGTCCCCTCTCCATGGGATGGCCGCCCCCTCATTGCTCTCTTCCTTCAGGTGTCTGCTGAAATGTCAGCTCCTAAGGGAGAACTTTCCTTATTTCATCCCAAATTGAAATCAGCCCTCCCCTGATTTCTCCCGACAGCACCCCGTGCTCTTCCTTCCTGTGACACTCCACTGCAGGCAGGTCTTGTCTCATTTGTGAATTTGCCTGGGCATTAACTGACTTTCCCTCTCAGATAGAGAACCCTGGGGGATGGAGACCATGGGGTCTGGTGTGCCTCAGTGTCCCCAGTGCCCCACAGGTAACCGCAGGGCTGTGAGGGGCCTGGAGCCATGGCAGAGAGGTGCTCTGGGAACAGAGGGCCCAGCAGAGGCGAGCTGGGGGCCTCTGGGGAGTTGGGAACTGGGATAGAAGGAGAGGCAGGTGCAGCAGGGCCGGAGGGGCCACACTGGGGGTGGGGAGCCGAGAACAGGAGCAAAAGTGTGGTGGCAGTTGGAGAAGCATGAGATGGAACAAAATCCAGCTACAAATTACTTGCATATGGCATAACCAAGTCCAAATGACCAGGAGGAGTTAAAACAAGTGGGGCAAAGAAACGTACCATGTAATTGCCAACCAAGGCATTTAAGGAGATAAACTGATAAAACAAACAACTCATGGAAAAAAATACAAAAGATACGAAACTTTATGCTCCTAAAGCTTCAACCTGGTGCAAGGAAGGAGAGACAAGGCCACAGTGATAGGAGCACTGTAATACATTTATTCCAGACAAGTCTGATACAGCATTAGGTAGGGATAGAAACTATTTGAATTAATAGGAAAACCTAACGTTCAAACCCAACAGCCAGAACACGTGACCTTGTCAAGCACACACGGGAGAAGTTCCACATTTTACCACATTAGGACACAACTCAAAAACTCAAAAGCCGTGCCCACAGTCACCATTACTGAGACACATTAGGACACAACTCAAAAGCCGTGCCCACAGTCACCATTACTGAGACACATTAGGACACAACTCAAAAATCGTGCTCACAGTCACCATTACTGAGACACATTAGGACACAACTCAAAAATCGTGCCCACAGTCACCATTACTGAGACACATTAGGACACAACTCAAAAGCCGTGCCCACAATCACCATTACTGAGACAAAATCAGAGATAACAATAAAACCCTAAACCCTAAACATCTGAAATTAAAAGCACCATTCTAATAGGCCTAGACTAAATAGAAAATATACATTCCACTCATGGCTCAAGTAGAAAACCTGAAGAAACCAATAACCTCAGAAGAAATTGAAAGAGCAGTCAAAGAAATGCTTCCATAGAAGAGTTTAACCAAATCCACAAGGAACAGATACTCCTCATCTCACATAAAATAATGCAAAGATCAAGACTTCTTGAACATAGGAATAACCCGCAAGAAAGCAGAGTGGAAAAAAGAGCTTATCAGCTATAACAGCAAAACTCCCAAGTATCTAAGAACAAACAAAAACTAATGAATGTTCAACGACTACACAAAAAGTAGTATAATATAGTCTAAGGTCTCCAAAAACACAAAAGAAGACCTCAGTAAATGAAGCTACATGGACATAATCCTGGACTGGAAGTTGGTCCTCCTCCAAATGAATCAAGAAATTTGGCATAATCTCCATCAAATAATTGTTAAAATAATTGTTAAAATTATTCTCCGTCAAATAATCTCCGTCGAATAATTGTTAAAATTATTCTCTGTCAAATAATCTCCGTCGAATAATTGTTAAAATAATTGTTAAAATTATTCTCCGCCAAATAATCTCCATCAAATAATTGTTAAAACCCAACAAAGTGATTCCAACATTCATCCGGAAGACCACACCAGACAGAAAAATAATGAAAAAGAATGACAATGAGGAGGCATATTTTTTTCAAATTAATGCAGTGTATTATAAAATAATATTAATGAAAACGTAGTTGTGTCAATGTCATGAAAGAAACAGATCAATGGAGCTGAATAAAACTTCCAAAAACAGGCTGGGTGCAGTGGCTCACGCCTGTAATTCCAGTACTTTGGGAGGCCGAGGCGGGTGGATCACCTGAGGTTGGGAGTTTGAGACCAGCCTGACCAATATGGAGAAACCCTATCTCTACTAAAAATACAAAATTAGCTGGGCATGGTGGTGCATGCCTGTAATCCCAGCTACTCGGGAGGCTGAGGCAGGAGAATCGCTTGAACCGGGGAGGCGGAGGCTGTGGTAAGCTGAGATCACGCCATTGCACTCCAGCCTGAGCAACAAGAGTGAAACTCCGTCTCAAAAACACAAAACAAAACAAAAAAACTTCCAAAAACAGATCCAAGAATATGTGGGGTTTCCAGGTTAAAATGGCGGATTGAACACAGATATCTGATTTGGCTCCTTTCTAGAATCCCATTAAAAGTTCAGTAAAGAAATTTAAAAAAAATTTAAAGTCACAAGCCTCCAAGGATAGGCAGAGCAGGAGGGGAAGAAACAACAAGGGAACTGTGGGAGGCTGGAAACAGATGGGCAAGTGGTAACAGACTTGGTACATCAAGAAAGCTGAATCCCAGGCTGGCCATGAAGACAGCCACATTCTACAAAGTCTCCCGGAGAATAAGAAGGGGGAAAATCAGGTTACAGGAGAGGTCATAGACAAAGAATTGGAATCAGAATGACTCAGAGTTCTCAAAAGCAGCATTCGATGCAGGAAAACAGTGGAGGAAAGCCTTCAGAATTCTGAAGGAAAATGATTGTCCAACTGGAATTCTGCATCCAGACACATTCCCCATCAAGTATGAAAGTGGAATAAGGACATTTCTAGACATGTCAGTTCTCAAAAGATTTATGTGACAAGCACTCCTCTCAAGAAGCTACTGAAAGGTGTGCACCATCAAAAACAAAAAAGGCAACAAAGAAAGAGTAAGACACAGATATAGAAAACGGAAGCCCAACACAGATAGAGAAAACGGGAGCCCAACACAGAAGACATGGCCTGGGAGGCCCATGGAGGGTGGCGAGAAGTGACCCTGAGGTGATGGCTCTGCACCAGATGTGGAGAGCGACTGAGCCATACTGAGCAGCGTGACCCACGGGGTGAACTGTCTTCACCAAGACCCCACCTCCATCAGGCCATCTGTAGCCCGGGGACAAAATGCCCAGGAGAGCCTGGCCTAGGTTCTTGGCAGTACTTGGCTTGGCCATGTGCCGATGAGGGGCGCTCCCCTCCTCTGCTGAGGACGCACAACATTCACAGAAGTTTCCAGCTTTCCCCCCACCGAGAGCTGGAGGCAGGCCGTGGCGAGCTTAGAAGCAGGACGTACAGGTCAGCCCCCTCCCTCTGACCGTATTTCCGCTGCAGGTCCAGCGCGTGGTCCCCACCTGGGCCCTACCAGGTGCCTGACTGTGCTGAGCCCAAGACTTCCTCGAGACCTTGCTCACGACTTCCCCAGGAGGGGCCTTGTCAGTTCCCGGAGAAGCAGAAGTCAGACCACGACCTGGAGACTGATCTGCTCACCTCCGGGAGCCTCCATCCAGCGGGGGCAGTGCCGCCCTCTCCTTACACTGCCAGCGTGTGCCAGCTCTCCACTTTAATATTAATCGTCTTTGATATTCATTTGCATGTAATTATAAATAGTTGCTCAAGTAGCAATACAGTGAATAAAATTAGTAAATGATACAGGTAGCAAACGGTGCTAGGAAACGGCGGAGGTGGAGCAGGAGGGGACAACCTGGCAGTCTGGCACTACTGAGGGGATCATGAGGAAGAGCACCATGCGGCTCATATCCTAAAGATACAGGATGTCTATCGGATAGCCCAGTGCCCTCCTTGGACTGACCCTTGGCCCATGGGCCATTGTTCGGCCCCATGGACTGGCTTGCAGATGGGCAAACTTGCACAGGTCTGTAAGGAGGCAATGGGGAGCTGCCCCTTGCAGCATTGCTTGGGTGGAGTGAGGGGAGCTGGAAACAACACGGGGGTCATCAGTGGGTGAGAGGAGAAGCAAATGTGGTGGGGGCATCCCACAAAGTGCTACCAAGGTTAGAAGTTTGATATCTACATAGATGGATGGATCTTAAAAACAGAGTGCCAAGTGCAAAAGGTAAGAAACAGAATGAGACACAATTCAGAGCGACTTACATAAATTATGGATACACAGACGCAAGACAGCAACACTCATGTTGCAAAAATGTACACTAAGGAAAGGATACGGTTTGATCACCTGAAATGGTTGCTCACTGCAGGAGAAAATCAGAAGGAAGAGAGCAGGCTGGGGAGATAAATGGCTTTTGTTTCTTTCTTTGTTTTAATGATGTTAGGACAACTGGTTAGAGGGAGGAAAAGGTCAAATTTTGACCTCATGCCTTAAGCAAAAACAGATTCCAAGTGGATGAGATGATCAAAAGGAAGTCATGGAAGTGCTAGAAGAAAATGTAGCGAGGCACCTTTTTATCATCTTGCTGTTGGGCGGGCTTTGGGTTCCAAGCCTAGGGCTCTTTCCCAGCCCTCTCCTTAGCTGCCCCATCCCCTGTGAGCAGTTTCCCACTCTGCTGGACTCTGCTGGCTGAATGCAAGGGCAGATGGCACACTTGCTAGGGGATGGTGTGAGGGGGGATGGGCACACTCACTAGGGGATGGCGCAAGGGGGGGATGGGCACACTCACTAGGGGATGGCCTGAGGGCAGACAGGCACACTCACTAGGTAGGGGATGGCCTGAGGGCAGACGGCACACTCACTAGGTAGGGGATGGCCTGAGGGCAGACGGCACACTCACTGAGGCACCTGCACACAGACAGAGGTGCTGTGCTACTGCCTCAACCTGCCAACCATGTGGATGGGAACAAGTCATCCTTTTTCCAGTGCTTAGGAGTCCCCAAAACGTAAGTCCTAATGACCGCCCTGCAGAGCCAGAACTGCCACACTGCCCAGAAGAGGAGAGGGAGGCTCAGGGAATTAGACTAAGGCCATGATGTTGGCAAATGGCCAGGCCAGAATGCCAGCCCAGTTCCTGCACACAAGCACTGCCAGGGCCTGCAGGGGCCACCACCAGGCTCAGGAGGACCAAAGCCTGGAGCACCAGCAGCCTCTCCTCCAACATGAGGAGCCCCACCCAGGGGAGGTCAACGGGAACAAGGTCATCCCCTCCATTTCTTACTAACCAAGAGAGAGTCGCTCTGTGGCTGTGTATTCCCCTAAAGATAATCATTAAGATGAAATATGTTTATGTGGAAGTGTAATCAGGACACAGCAGAAAGCCCTGCTTGGAAGCAGGCAGGCTCTTTGGAGGCTCTGGGAAGCAGAAGGCAGGCTCAGCCCCACGGGGGCCATCAGCACAGAGCCCCACTGGTGTACTTTATTAAAAGATGCTCATTAGGATTATTACATCCCAGCCCTTTATAACTTTATTACTGACTTTGAATTAATTTTTGCAACTTCAACAGACACAGCTCATCCAATGCCATTTTTATGACCTGAGGTGGATCGGAGGGTGGGGAGGGGCTCCTGGGGCCGGCCTGGCCATCAGGAGCGCATCAGGAACCGCTGTGCCGAATCTCAGGGGCAGTCCTGACAGTTCTCTAAACTCCCACGGGATGGGCTGCCCCGCGGACAGATGGACGCTCCAGCCCAGGCCTGCTCAGCCTCAGCCATGCTTCAGGGAGAAAAAGGAAGCACTAAAGGAGAGAAGGCCTCTCCGGGCCAGTCCTCAGAACATACCCCCGCACAGCAGAGGACAAAGGACACCCCTCAGTGGTGGACACAGAAGGTCCTGGCCTGCCCAGCACCTGCACACCCTCACAGAGCCACCTGGGGTTGCACAGCACGGTGGCCTGCCCTGTCTGGCCATTACACCTTTTCTGCTAGTAAACCACCCTCCCCTATTTGCACCCCATATGGCTCATGGGGAGCCAATCCCACTGCACCCCAGCTCCAGGAGTGCCCAAGGGGTCCTGTTAGGCCACTGGAACCTGATGCTGTGTGTTGGTGTGCACAGGAAGACTCCCGTGCTTTCCTCTCTGCTGGGAAAATGTGACTCTGGGACTGCTAAGTACCTCCTTCCCCCAGGAGCAGCAGAGGCGAGAGATGAGGGCAGCCCCGTGTGCTGCTGACACTGTTCAGGTCCCCAAATCCAGCTATGGCTGAAGGTGATGCACCCCTGGACATCCTAATTCTTCAGGTCAATTCATTTAGCTCTCTGTCTCTTGCAACCACGAGAGTCCTGTGTGCCCTTACAAACACAGACACAGCCAAATGTGCTGGCCTGAGAGAGACACCATGGTTTGGCTTTGCAGCCACAGCTCTCTTGAACGATTGAGGCATCAGACCAGGCCACTCTCTTCTGCCCTGTGCCTGCACCTCCCAGTGTGGGGCGAGGAGAAGGTCTGCAGTATTTAAGGTCTATGACCAGAAAAGGGGCCAGGCTCTGGTCCGGCTCCCAGATACGTGTCCTTGGGAAATGGTGCCCAGCAGAGGTGTGAGGCTGCTGAGGTTGAGCCCAAGCCAGCAGGGCCATGCTGAGTGACCAGCAGCTGTGCGAGCCCCTCTGAGGTGTCCTGCAGCAGGGCTGGGGCTTCCTGTCTACAGCCCTCACAGAGGTTCCCAAACACAACTTCCCCCTCTTCACCCCAGGGCTGGGGCCTCCTGTCTACAGCCCCCACAGAGGTTCCCAAACACAACTTCCCCTTCGTCCCCCCAGCACCCGCCGAACTACCGAGGCTCCTCTGCACCTGCCCCGTGCCACTCTCCAGCGGCCTCTGCAGCCCACTCACCTCCAAGGATTCACGGGGGTCTCGGGGCCTTCAGAGGCTGGGGCGGGTGACAAGAGCCAGCAAGCCCTGCCCCTGCCTAGCATCTGCTTAAGCCAGGGAGGGTCCCCAGGACTCACCACAGCCCCCAGGGCTCCAAGCCTTCCCTCTGCTGGGCAGTTGGCCCAGGGAAGGGGAGCTGGCCTGGGTAATGTCACGGGGGCACCGCAGCACGCGGCAGCCAAGTGGTGGGGGCCGATGGAGAGGCCGGCAGGTCTTTTATTGAAAATATTCACTGTGAACTTCAGAACAAAACGAAGATCCCCACGGGTCCCAAAGGAAGGGAGAATTCCCAGGGGTTGTGTTCTGAACGCAGAGGAGGTGGGGGCCGGCAAGTGGGGTGCTGACAGCCAGTGCCACGGGACCCATGTGGCCGGAGGCTTGGCCAGTGGCTCAGCAGATGACAGGCGGAAAATCCCTGTCACCAGTCCGGTACATGCTCCAGAGCCCCTGATTTGGACATCATCTGGAAGCCTGGCATTGCTCCCCGGAAGGCCTCAGGTACCTCACACTCAGAAGGTCCAGGGCCTGCTGCCTCCTCTGCCCGCACGTGCACCTCCGGCTGCACTGCCAGCTGCATCGTCCACCTAGGGAGTGGGGCCCGCATGCAGCCAGGTCCATGCCAGGAGCAGAACCTGCCTCTCCCCCTCCCTCAAAGGCAGCTCCCTCCTCACTCCTCAGGGTCTCTGGAACCTACCCCTCCACGCTCTATGCCCTCTGTACTGCCCACGCTCCTGACTCCAGCAGCATCTGCGCCTCCCCCATCTCTGCACTCTTCAAATCCAAGTTCCAAGGCATTTCTTTACCTGCCAACCTCAGTTTCCCTTGTTGTGGCCTTCACGTCCTTTGATGTTGAGCCCTGCGTTCATGCAGGGTGGGCGTGGGCCCTGCAGGGGTGAGGTCCTGGTCCCCTGGGAAGAGCTTGCAGCCAACACAAGCGGGAGGTCTCAGATGCTGCCCGACCCTGTGCAAATGAGGCCCTCTCCTACCCGGCCATGAGCCACGTGCAGGGACTCAGCACCTGCCTCTGCTCCCTCCTCCTTCCTGACCCCTCTAGGTCAGGAGTCCAGGCACACAGCAGTGCTGGGGTGCTGCAGCCAAGCACAGGCTCTTCCTAGCTGATTGTGGGACCTGGGGCAGCCCTGCACGGTGGGCCACACTGTGCCACCAAGCTGCCTTCCTAGGAGGAAGAGTTCCTCAGATGCCCAGGCACCAGGGACTTCACACACCTCCTGTTTCTTCTTCATGGTAGCCGGTGGAGTGGGCACGGGACCTCTCTTACGCAAATGAGGGAACAAGCCCTGGGCCCAGGCAACAGGCACCCCTGCGTGACCCCAGCATCTGGCTCTGTCCCCCGCATCCCGAGCTTCCAATGGCCCATGGTGGTGATTGCACCTGGTCCAGCAGCCAAGAGGGAGCTGAAAGTACCAGGGCCCTGGCCCAGCTGAGGACCTTGCTGCCATCACCCACCATGACCCTTGGGCACAAAGACCCCCCACTTTCAGTCGTGGCACCAAGCACAGTCCATGTCTGACCAGGACCTGCTCAAGGAGCAGGAGTGACCGAGGACAACCCCGGGGACCACCCCAGCCCTCCCCCATGCTGGGGGTGGAAGGGT